>NT_167215.1:0-155397 GCF_000001405.40 Homo sapiens | reverse complement strand
GAATTCTCTCTCTCCATTTTCTCTTCTCACCCCCAGCCCCTGGTAACCACTGTTTTATACTCTATCTCTGCATATTTACCTTTTTGCTGTTTTTGTCCTGAGAAGTTTATTGGGACTTTCAGCTAGGAGATAATATGTTCTGAGTCTTGATTATCTCAAATTATATCAGGTAAGAAGTTTTACTTGTCTGGAGAGCAGAGAGCAAGTGCATAATTTTATGCAGAAGAGGGAATAAAGAGAATTCTCTAATTAAAATTTGAATCAGAAATATGGTTCATATTTTTATGTACAACAATCTCTAAGGCTTCTTGGAAAGGAACTAGCTGCCTGATTTTTTTTCATTTGAATCCTCTAATACATGAAGAGGATGATTCTACCATACCAATCACAAGAATGATATCTGTAGAATCAAAAGTTGAAATCCTATTATCCTAGAAGTTTTTTCAGAAAACTTGAACATGTATTGAAATGTCATGCTGGTCATATATGTTACAGCAATGAGGAATTTACTTATTATATACTTTAGCTTTTTAGCCCTTTCCCTGCCCACCAGAAATGTTTCTTTTGAATCCAATTTGGTCCTCAGAGTTTTAGAATGTTAAGGAATGTATAGGGGTATCTTTTTTCTTCTTTTTTTTTTTTGTCAAGCTATTGTATATTTTTACTTTACCTGTTTGGGTATGTAGTTACTATTTGTTTGGACTGTCATACTAGAAAAAAATTATAGTGAATTTTACATGTATGGAGTCTTCATTAATCTGTATAAACTGACAAGTTTAGAATATCAAAGTCATCACTGTAAAAAATAAAGTGATATTTTATCTGGTCTATCTCCTTGCAAATAAAAGAACAATAAATTCTGTACTATTATGAAATATAAGAGCTTGAAAATTTTTCAAGCATCTTGTATAGAATGGCCTTCGAATTCAAGGTATAAACTACAACAAAACACTTTCGAGATCTAGTTTGATTGAAGAGTGCATTCTTACTTATTTATATATTCTCTGCAATTTCTGATTCAAGATAGTCCACAATTCTAAAGGAAAACCAAAATAGAATAATAATTATAAAACAAAATAAAAAGTAATTGAGGAAGATAATTGAGCAACTTATTCTTGACAACTAGCTTTTTAACAAACAGAAAAGTGCACTAAAAATACTGCCTAGTTGTTTAAAGTAGGCTGAGATCTGACTGTATCCCCTGAGTGACATAAAGAAAAAACTACCTTTGAGGAAGCACAGTGATTAAATTTAAAAGATTTATTGTTTAACCTCAGGAAGACTTTCAATAACTTTTTATAAATTGTATACAGTTAATGGAAGACATGCTAGGCTTCTTGTAAGAATTTATTCCAGATCACTGTGTATAATTAATGGCTTGTCTACATATTTTTTCAATAAAACTGTTCATGAAGAATTTTAAGTATGCACTTTCAGTAACAGAATGGATATATCTTTGTGAAGATACCATTTATGTACCATAACATCCAAAGCATAATGAGGAGATTTTGATACACTGCAGATTTAGAACTGAGTTGGAAAACAAAACTTCAACATACTGTCTTGTCAGCACAAAGCAAATAAATTCATCACTGTCAGTTGAGATTTAAATTCACAAACTTATAAGCAATAAAATCAAAGTAATTTTGTTATAAGTTTTTTGACACCAGATTATATGGGGTAAATAATTTACTTTCTAATCAAGCAATTGATACATATAAACCTGAAATAGAGAGTTTTGCCTTTTAATTAGATACATTGTTACGCAAAGAGTGGTTGAAGCTGCAGTGGAGAATTATCTTTTTCTCTTTTTGCTGTTCTTACAAGGACAGTTTCTAGAATTCTTTTCAAAACAATAGAACAGAAAATTTCACTTACTTAATTTAACTTTTGTTAAAGTACTTTGCCAAAATTAGCAAACTATGAAAGGAAAGTTTGCCTTTTCAATATATATGTAAGTGGCAAGTAAAAGTTGTTCTTAAATCACGTGATCTCATAGAAATAACATGGGATAAAAAGAGTTCTGAAGGTGTTCAGGAAATGCCAGTCCTAAATGTATTGCTTTGGTGTACTGATTATATTGAACTGAAAATATTTGAAAAATAACAACTGTGGGACATGCTTTCTCTGCACTCCCTTTACGTTCCTCAAGAGAGATCCTCCAAAAGGAATTTTCAATACCAGAATGAATGTATCTTTGTAAAGATACCATTTATCTACCATAACATCCAAAGCATGATGAGGAGATTTTTATACACTGCAGATTTAGAACTGAATTGGAAAACAAAGCTTCAAGATACTGTCTTGTCAGCACAAAGACATTCATCTCCTTCCTAGGAGTTTCATCAGCCAGGGAAAATTGACTCCTCATATCACAGGAGACAAGACTAAGAGTCCATTCCACACCAAGGCAGACTGCCACAAACTATCATCTATGCTCCTAGGGGTCTGGTCATCTTTCCCAAAAGTCATTTGCTCTCCCTTAAGTTTCCTACATTCTTCCTCCTGCCTTCCCTACAAGCTCCTAAATCTCCCTGGGTTTTTTTCTTGGTGGTGTTTTGTTTGTTTTGTTTTGTTTTGTTTTTGATTCCACGTTTCTTTCCTGTGATTCCCCCATGCGTGTAATAAATGTGTACACATTTTCTTCTTTTGACATGCCTGTTATCCATTTATTCAATAGACTCAGTTATCATACCTTCAGAGGGTAGAGGGAAAGGTCTCCAAGTCCTACAGTTCCAAAAGAAAATAGCTAGTAATGCAAATGCAAAAGTCATATAAACTTTGAGACAAAGTTAGCGTCTTATATGGTACGTTCAGAAAGAAGAGGTGTGTTGCACACCAAGGGACATTTTCCTGGTCTTAGCTACTAAGTTTCTCTGAGAAGAAGCAGTTACTACTACAGCAGTTAAACACCTGACTCCCAAATTATAAAAGCCTAAGTGTTCAGATTAAATCATGAGTTGTCACCTGTGAATCATAAAGTCTGAACTCTTTAAATTGCAAACACACATAGAAAAACGATTCTTACACAGGGATCCATGAGTGGAACTGCAAAGTTTTGTCAAAATCTATATATATGTTTTCTTTTTAAGGGTCATAGATTTCAATATATGTTAAAAGATATCTGGGGCTAGTAAAGATTAATAACCATTTTCAGTTTTGTGCTGAAATTGGCAAATCATGGCTTTTCTCCCTCCAACACACCCCCTCCCGCCTCAGCACACCACTGGTTAATCTTTATTTTCAGGAGAGAAAAAGATGTTTCATATTAATAAAGGTAAATTATACACTTGTTTGTTTTATACTTTTCCACCTCTTAAGCTTAATCGTGTTTTAATAATGTATAATTGAATACATTAACATTTAGATGTTAGTAAATGAATAACAAATGTTCATTGTTTCTCTTGAGTAGAGGAATAAAAATTTTGCACCTGTTGTATAGAATGATTTTTAAAATCTCATTCAATCCTTCAGAAGTTTAAGATTTTTTTTCAAGAATTTTTATATAAAATTTTTACTCAGAAGCAGATAGCTCACAAAAAGTATGGGGGTTTTTTGGATTATAAATAAACTATTCCACTCACCAAGATGCTGAGACATCCTACTTTGTGGTATTTTGAAATAAAAACAAAACACAAGAATGTGACGATGAAGCAAGTGAAAATTAAAAGGGTACAGACTTTAGAAGTATCATAAGCTAAAAATAAAATGAAACAAACCTGTAAAGGAACCAAAAGCCCAGGTAGATATAATACAGTAAATTATGAGAAGCTAAAAAAAATGAGGAGGTGATAAACAATAAAGTGAAAATCTCTGATAAAGCCAAAACTACTTGAATGGCAGTCAACAAAACAGAAGAAAAAAATGACACTCATAACAAGGCAGAACTATGGAAATGCATCCCTGGGGGTAAGATAATAGAGTTGCGAATTAGTGGAGGTGGATCACAAATACTGGCCAAATAAAGCCCGCTAACATAATTCAAAGGACAGAGAAATTCTGTAGCTGAAGATAAAAAGTCTGAAATACATTATGGTATAGTCAAATGAGTGTCATTTCTAATAGACACACTTATTTTTCAAGAGTTGATAATATGAAGTAAAAATTTAGTATGCAAAGTTCAAATTTTCCATTTGTTGAGTAATTCATTTTTATTAAATATTTTCCAACAATTAAACTAAAGTGGTACCAGAACAGAGTAGACATTCTGAGTTTTCACTTTACAAAAGCTACACATAAATCTACGTACTTCTTAAGGGTATAAACAAAGTCAGAGCCTGTGTGATATTTCAATAAACAATTGGAGAAAATTTTTTTAAGAATAGATTATATACATATTGACCTCTTTGAGAACCTTATTTTTTTCTTTTTTTTGTGTGTGTGTTTGGTTTTTTTTGTGTGTGTGTGTTTTCATTTCTTTTTTAAATTATTATTATTATACTTTAAGTTTTAGGTTACATGTGCACAACGTGCAGGTTCGTTACATATGTATACATGTGCCATGTTGGTGTGCTGCACCCATTAACTCGTCATTTACATTAGGTGTATCTCCTAATGCTATCCCTCCCCCCTCCCCCCACCCCACAACAGTTCCCAGTGTGTGATGTTCCCCTTCCTGTGTCCATGTGTTCTCATTGTTCAATTCCCACCTATGAGTGAGAACATGCGGTGTTTGGCTTTTCATGCTTGCGATAGTTTACTGAGAATGATGGTTTCCAGCTTCATCCATGTCCCTACAAAGGACATAAACTCATCATTTTTATGGCTTCATAGTATTGCATGGTGTATATGTGCCACATTTTCTTAATCCAGTCTATCATCGTTGGACATTTGGGTTGGTTCCAAGTCTTTGCTATTGTGAATAGTGCCACAATAAACATACGTGTGCATGTGTCTTTAGAGCAGCATGACTTATAATCCTTTGGGTACATACCCAGTAATGGGATGGCTGGGTCAAATGGTATTTCTAGTTCTAGATCCCTGAGGAATCACCACACCGACTTCCACAATGGTTGAAATAGTTCACAGTCCCATCAACAGTGTAAAAGTTTTCCTATTTCTCCACATCCTCTCCAGCACCTGTTGTTTCCTGACTTTTTAATGATTGCCATTCTAACTGGTGTGAGATGGTATCTCATTGTGGTTTTGATTTGCTTTTCTCTGATGGGCAGTGATAGCATTTTTTCATGTGTTTTTTGGCTGCATAAATGTCTTCTTTTTAGAAGTGTCTGTTCATATCCTTCACCCACTTTTTGATGGGGTTGTTTTTTTCTTGTAAATTTGTTTGAGTTCATTGTAGATTCTGGATATTAGCCCTTTGTCAGATGAGTAGGTTGTGAAACTTTTCTCCCATTCTGTATGTTGCCTGTTCACTCTGATGGTGGTTTCTTTTGCTGTGCAGAAGCTCTTTAGTTTAATTAGATCCCATTTGTCAATTTTGGCTTTTGTTGCCATTGCTTTTGGTGTTTTAGACATGAAGTCCTTGCCCATGCCTATGCCCTGAATGGTATTGCCTAGTTTTTTTCTATGGTTTTTATGATTTTAGGTCTAACATGTAAGTCTTTAATCCATCTTGAATTAATTTTTGTATAAGGTGTAAGGAAGGGATCCAGTTTCAGCTTTCTACATATGGCTTGCCAGTTTTCCCAGCACCATTTATTAAATAGGGAATCCTTTCCCTAGTTCTTGTTTTTGTCAGGTTTCTCAAAGATCAGATAGTTGTAGATATGCAGCATTATTTCTGAGGGCTCTGTTCCATTCCATTGGCCTCTATCTCTCTTTTGGTACAAGTACCATGCTCTTTTGGTCACTGTAGCCTTGTAGTATAGTTTGAAGTCAGGTAGCGTCGTACCTCCAGCTTTGTTCTTTTGGCTTAGGATTGACTTGGCAATGCAGGCTCTTTTTTGGTTCCATATGAACTTTAAAGTAGTTTTTTCCAATTCTGTGAAGAAAGTCATTGGTAGCTTGATGGGGATGGCATTCAATCTATAAATTACCTTGGTCAGTATGGCCATTTTTACAATATTGATTCTTCCATGAGCATGGAAGGTTCTTACATTTGTTTGTATCTTCTTTTATTTCATTGAGCAGTGGTTTGTAGTTCTCCTTGAAGAGGTCCTTCACATCCCTTGTAAGTTGGATTTCTAGGTATTTTATTTTCTTTGAGACAATTGAGATCCTTATTGTGAGATTCAATTCAGAATCTGGGATTTTGTTTTGTTTTGAGATGTAGTCTCTCTCTGTCACCAGGCTGGAGTACAGTGGCACAGTCTCTGCTCACTGCAATCTCTGCCTCCCAGGTCCAAGCGATTCTCCTGCCTCAGCCTCCCAAGTAGCTGGAACTACAGGCACGTGCCACCATACCCAGCTAATTTTTGTATGTTTTTTTAGTAGAGATGGGGTTTCACCATGTTGGCCAGGATGGTCCGGATCTGTTGACCTTGTGATTTGCCTGCCTCAGCCTCCCAAAGTGCTGGGATCACAGACGTGAGCCACTGCGCCCAGCCCAGAATCTGGGTCTTAACCAGATTTGCCATTATAAAATGAAATGAAACCAAAACCACCAGTCAATATCTGTAGCAGTGTTATTGTTGGGGAGCATGCACGTTTGTTTGAGCTTACTTATATATACAGAGCTGTTTAGCTTAATCTTTAAATTGAAAATTTTTAGTATTTTTAGAATGTTTTAGATACTTTGATGAATAAATTTTGTGTTAACAAACTACTATTAATAAAACTTATAAATTAAATATTTCTGAACACATTGGCAGAGGTAAATGATAAAGTTATATTCACACAATTAGTTTTTCTTGCACAGAATTGACATTTTGTCAAAAAGTTAAAATCTTTGAAATGTGTTTTCTGTCCTCATCTTTCCCCTTTTCAGCATTTTTCCCCCTGGGTTGGTTATAAAATATTCCCTAACTTCAGGCATCTGGTTAAGTTTTGGGTTTTCTCCCTTCCTACCAACTCATATGGATTGGTAATGATCTGATAGAAGACAATTGCCAAAAATCAATCAAATATGTTTTAAATGAAACTTCTCCAATATAATATTCATATTAATCCTTCTTTAATTGCTGAATGAGTAATAATTGTTCACTGACCCTTAAAATCCTAAAACTTAATCAGCTCACTGGAGTGGATGAATGGATGTTTGTCTAGATGAGAATGCTTAAGGTCTACTTCAAGGAGTTCATAATAGTAAAAATGTCCTTTTCTTCCATCAGAAACTTCATCCTGGATCTTTTCATCCTTGTTTTTCTACTAGCTCTCCTTCTCCAAATACACTGACTTGGAACCCCAGTTTCAGTGGTGGACTGCGTGGATTTGATTCTAAGCTATGCTATAATGAGAAAGTAGCTCTAACCCTATTCTCATTTTCTTCACCTGTAATATAGAAATCATCATCAGACAATATACAGATAGGGGCCAGTTATTTCACAGATAATAATAGGTGAAAATGGAGAGTATGTGGGTGTAGGCATGGAAAAGTGAGTTTAAATGGTTTCAGGAGTCTGTGGAAATTGTCTTTGGGTGATTCAATGTTCTCAGGGAAGCACACCCAAAAAGACATTGAGGATTTCTGGGGAAGTGTTAGGGATTAGAGACAGGATAAGATACAAAACTAGGAAAATTAGAGAGTGAATAGATTGGAACATATGTAGTATGATTGATTGATAGGCGGCACTCAGATTCTCAGTTTCAAGTGGGATATTTTTCAATTTGATCCATATAGCTAGTTGCTCAAATATATGTGGGGATTTGGTGGAAATTTGGATCTAACCAGGGTTATTTTCCTGGTTAGATTCAGCAAAGTGAAAGAGAAACAAGGAAGTTGAAGTTTCCTGGGAATGGTTGGCCACGGAATTTAGGCAGGAGAACAGGAAATAGAGTACATCAGTAGGTAAGGGTCATTATAAATATGATAAAATAATAGTTTGGAGGTCTCAGAGAGATTGAAAAATTTTATGTCAGCGTATGAAAGGGAATGATTAAAGGAGGAGTTCAGAGAATGGGATGAATGAAATTGTGACTACAGAGGAGTTGCTATTATAAGTAACGACGATGCTTCACTCAGTTCCTCTGGAAGTGTGGTCCCTGTGCTAGCAGCAACAGCATCACCTGGGAACTTACTAGAACTGCATATTCTCAGGTTACACCCCCAGATCTTCCAAATATGAAATTCCAATAGCAGGTCTCAGCAATCTCTTATTGTAACACAACTGTAGGCAATTTTGAGGCACACAGTAGTTAGCACAACTGGTCTAGTGTATGTCTTATTTGGTCTTCCTCCCCGGTTCACAGTACAGAGCTCCTAAAACTTGAAATTTCCTGATAGAGATGAGAGGACCATCCTTTACTAGTCATAAGTCCCTCTTAGCCATACCTGAGTTTATGCTATTGACATGACATGAGTGGTGGTTGGAGACCCGTATGGCTTCAGGGTGGGTGCTTGACACCAGAAACATGAAGGCATAACTAGATGGTTAAAACTGTCAGCCCTCTCCTCCATCACCTCTGAGGTGCTGGGAGGGTGATACAATGATATACTTAGAGGTCATATGGCAGCTTTGTGCCCCTTTTCACCATACCTGGCCCTATGTGTCTCTTCTATTTGACAGTTCCTGATTTGTATCAGACAGTAACTGTAAGCAAAGTGCTTTCTTGGGTTCTGTGAGCCATCTTAGCAAATTATAGAACCTGGGGAAGGAATCCATGGAAGTGCTAATTTATAGCCAGTTGGTCAGGAGTATGGCAGGCCCACAACTCCTCTCTAATGGTGGGGGGGTGGCAGTCTTGTGGTCCTGAACCCTGAACTTGTGGGATCTGATGCTATCTCCAGATAGATAGTCTCAGGATTGAATTGAATTGTAGGACACCATTTGGTGTCCTGAGAGTTGAAAAATTGATTGGGGTGAGACTAAACCAACAAATTTCATCTCAGAAGTTTGAGTAGAAATAATTCTGTTGGAAAACATTATCGTTAGATCAAAGGTGTTAATAGAACTGAGAGATCAAAATGGCAAAGAGTCATCTATGATTACACATTGTTGACATAAACTAGAATTAAGACAAGAGTATGTCAAAGAGAGTTACATTGAGCCAGGGATAAAAATAGTCAATTGATTGATTAGAATTTAGTAAATGCTATTTTTTGAAAAATTAATATTTAGTTAATTAATGGAGATACTTAATTATCTCCATTTTGACTTTAAATTTAAAACTAAAAAATTGATATTTTATCTATTTTCCATAAATGGAAATTGAAAAGCAATAGCAAAATGCTTCGACAGAAAATCTGCCCTTCTTATTCCCAAGAGGAAGAATGGCCAACTACCTTAAGAATAAGTTAGAAAAACTTTCATAATTTTTTAAGTTGCCATATTTTATAGCTTTGAACAAGTTGAATTATTAACTAGACTGCCCAGGGAATGGAGCCATCTAATATAATTTCCTTACTATTTAGATAAAATCTTTGTTGTTGAAAATCTTAATCATTTTTAATGATCCTGTTTTCAGAGCCTGATATTAATGATTCGTGAAACTCATTAAATGCAGTTATGCATCTGATTTGAAAATCATGAGGGAGATTTTGGTCAGATATGCATAGCAAATCTATGTCACTAGACATAAGTCCCTTCTACCCATGCCACAACCTTTATGTCTACTCTTGAATTGAGGTTTTGCTACGTTTTATTTTTGAGGTTTAAGAATTATTCATTTAACTGTCGGAAAATTGTGTTTCTCTTGTTAGAATAGAGCCCAATTTATCCTTTCTATTTTTCATGGAGACATGAAAGTATGTGAATTTGCAATCAGAGAAACCTGAGTTCCACCATGCTTTCTTCCTCTTGCAAGCCATGAAATCCACAGTGGGTTAGTGGATATTACAAACCTCTGGTCCCACCTTATTAAGATGGAAAAAAATAAGACTAATTGAAAGAACAAATGTGGTAATGAGAAGAAATGGTATCAATAAAATTCCTGGAACACAGTAAGTTCTAACAAATGCTAGTTCTTTTCTTTCATAATTCAAAATCTAAATAGAAGCCAGTTGGTAATTCCAAGATAATAGTATGAAGACAAAAAAAATGTTTGTTAACTGACCTTCAACCATTGAGACCTTATCTTATAGGAAGCAAAATTAACAAATATTTTCTCCCTTCTACAAATGTATACCCTCTGAGAAAGAGAGACAGTGTTCCAATCAAGACGATGACAGTATTCTGTGCACACATAGGAAAGGAAGAAGAATCAGAGAGAACCTTTAAAAAGACAATTTTAGATAGGCATCCTATTTTTACCGGCAATAACATTTTTTAGAACTTACGGCATACAAAATAGACCTTAAATGGACTCAGTGTTGAGAAATTTTTATAAGACTGCTTTATTTTCTTCTATGGTAAATCTAGGAACCAATAAAATAGCTTTGATAATTCACTCATTACATTCTTTCCTAACTAAACTATTTACATTATAAACTTTGTTGATATGCTGTGCTTTTGCATTAATAATTCTCATGTGTCTCATTTGTGAATACATGAAAACTAGTTGTAAAATAAGGAAAATGTAATTTTGAAACATCTTCAAAAACAGTTGCATAATTTAACAAATGTTTATAAATTTTCGTCCTTACTCTAAAACCATAGATATCCTAAAATTGACTGAAGGTAAAATGATTTTTAAAGAACTGGATTTCTCACCATGAGTTATTTTATCTCCATACAAACTGTGGTAGTGTTATACAATGGTTAAGAAGAAATTACTTAAAAATGAGAATAAAGATACAGCTTATTAACACTTCATTTTGTGGATGAGACCTGAAAAATTAAACTTTTCTTCTAGAGACAAGTTGTAGTTGTGTATATAGAGTGTGAATAGATAGTGTCCATATTTTACTGTCATTATTTAAACAGAAACATGCAATTTGCACTTCAAAAACCTACTACAAATTAACTGTGTCATTTGGAAGTGTCAAAATTATCTCATTAATGATCAGATAGGCTTTTGGCTCATTGTAATGAGATGTTCCTATAAACCTAATTTGAAAGACAAAGACAGAGTTTGGAGTCTTTAATTCTTGGTAAAAATCAGTAGCTCTATTTAGGGCTATATTTGCAAAATACTATTTCAACTCAAGCATATTTTTATTTACAAGGCACTTCACAAATGTTGACCACAAAGATGTTTCTACCTAGCAGAAATAATTATAGTTACATATAGTTGTCTAGGAATATCTTAAACATGGGGTATTAAAATAACTTTCAAGAACAAGAAGAAATGTTACACCAGGCATTTTTGCAACTAGTGCTCTATTTCAGTGCAATATTTGTGGCAATTAAAAAACATAAATGGCTTGGATATATAGCTAAGTTATCAAAGGAAAAATATGCAAAGGCATGATTATTTTATAAATGTGCCACATATGTGACTTGAGGTACAAATCCTCTAAGTTTAAAATTGTCTTTTTAAAAAAGAAATCAAAACAGACAAGTGGGCAATGAGTTATGGATACTATTATAGGGTACCCTGATAAACTAGTAAGAAGACGACTTTTGGTACTGAAAATTCCAATTAACCACATGCCCCCATTAAGGCCATGATCACTGCCAATTTTTACTCACAAAGGCTGGAGCTAGAGTTATATGGAATTCCATATGTATCTAAACCATAGATTTATCAATTATCACTTAAATACAACTTGGAAGACACTATCCAAAATTTGTAGGGCTTGGCCTTATTCTAGAGAAACATACACTGGAATAGGCAGTTGGATTTTAAATTCAGTCTTAAATCTGTTGAAAATAATGCATTTTTTTCTCAGAGATGAGATATTGTTCAACTCTTTTGACTTATTTTAGATTTGATAATATACAGTTCAAACACCATGGAGATTTACTAATCTGAATGAACACATACCAAATTTGTCTTTGCTCCAGTCTCGAAATTTGAGATTAATTCTAGCTGCTGAAGAAATTTTCCAGTGTTAGGAGTATGCTTCAATGCTAGTGACCGGTACTACTTTCTGGTAAACTATAGATGACATGTGTGCTTTCATTGCCTAAACTCACTTTGTAGAACACCATTAAATGAAAATCATCACCAGCAATTTGGGAGGCTAAGGCGGGCAGATCATTTGAGGTCAGGAGTTTGAGACGAGCCTGGCCAACATGATGAAACCCCGTCTCTACTGAAAATACAAAAACTTATCCAGGCATGGCGGGATGCACCTGGAATCCCAGCTACTTGGGAGGCTGAGGCAGGAAAATCGCCTGAACCCAGGATGTGAAGGTTGCAGTGAACAGAGATGTTGCCATTGCACTCCAGCCTGGGCAACAGAGTGAGACTTCATCTCCAAAAAAAGGAAAAAATGAGAGAGAGAGAGAAAAAAAATTATCAGTGTTCAGTGACTCTTTGTTTTTCATGCTGATAAACTATTACGCAGAAAAAGAAAATTTTCATGCTGATAAACTATTACACAGAAAAAGAAATGTATCCATTATGGACAATTAAAAGGGCTATACAATCTCTCTCATTGTATGATTCTAGTTTTCTTTATTTTTCTTTTCTTTTGTTCTTTTTTTTTTTAATACAGGATCTCACTCTCTCACCCAGGCTGGAATGCAGTGGCTCTATCTTGACTCACTGAAACCTCAGCCTCCTGGGTTCAAGCTATTCTCCTGCCTTAGCCTCCTGAGTAGCTAGGAATAAAGGCATTCACCACCACGCCAGCTAATTTGTGTATTTTTTTAATACAGGTGGCGTTTTGCCATGTTGCCCAGGCTGGTCTTGAACTCCTGACCTCAAATGATCCTCCCACCTCGGCCTCCCTAAGTGTTGGCATTACAGGCATAAGCCACCATGCTTGGCCTGATTCTGTTTTTTAACACAATTCTTATTACTTCTGTTTCAATTTTACAAAGCCATAGGTTTTTAATCTGGGAAACCTTTGAGAAAACATCCAGATAAATTTATAAATAGAAAAATAAATTCAGACACATATAATTAAGTTTATGATCTAACAAGTGGGTGACAACCGAAAACTTTCCAAGTTCCATAAACTGAAGTGAAAGGATCACTTTCCTGAAAATATTACAAAGGCTTGATAATTACCTGGATTGTACTAAAACCTACACAATCTAGTATATTCTATAGCAGCAATTCATAAAGACAGCTTCACTTACCATGTAGAATTTATACATACATTAAATTTAAGGAATGCATTACTTGCTATTGGAGTAGGATAATAAACTCCCAGCAGAACTGATTTTCATGAATGCCTATTAAACTATCATTGATGTAGAAATTAAACAATATATTAAGCTATTCAGACCCAGATTGTGAGAGACAGAGAAAAACTTCAAAAAAGTTCAGCTACCAAATCCCTTCCTCAATAGCTCTTTGAGTCTCAAGACAGTTTCAACCACACACATCCTCAGAGTCTTATGGTCCAAACAACATTTGACTGCAGCTCTAAAGTAAGCAAACATTTGAAAAGAAACTCAAAGATCTATACCTGTAGTTATGGTCAAGGAAGTCCACCTACTGGTGGGTGAGCATGGCAAGGATAGGGACTAAGCCAAATGATGGGTTTACCAAAACAGAAACAAGAGAAGTCATTGGAAGCACAGTCCAGGTTATAACAGGAGCCCAGGCACTTGATGTGGGAACCCTATTTGTCTCATTCAGCACCTAGAGTTTTAACGTCCTATGAGGCACAGCTAATGCCCTTCATTATTTTTTTGTAATTGACTGCATAGTTTAGAACTATGCCTTGAATTTAATATCTATCTGTTGAATAAATGAATTAATAATGATGAAAATCTGTCCACAGGTTATGTGCAGTACTGAAGAGCAACTTCAGCTATTGAGGTATGTATCAGAAGTCTTACTCTCCAAAAAGCCTCTGGTTAGTTACTGATATACGTTGCTGATAATTTCACTCTCACAATGTAGGGGAAGCAGGAATGTTATCTGGCCTCTTGGCTCCACTTCCTTTGCCTTCCACAGATCTCTCTGCTGGTTCACAGAGGAACACTTTCGTGGCTCTCAGTTCATTTTGCAATTCTGCTAGAATCTCATTCCATCCTCAGTTGTAACTACCTTGTCCTTCACCCAACGCTTATTTACGGAGGGACAGATAGCAAGAAGAAATCGCACTCTGGATTACAAAGTGGGAAGACACACCCCTTGGCCAGAATGCCTGCCTCCTATGTTCATGAAGGATATTTCTAATTGATCTCGGCACTCTTTTCCATTGAGCCCATGTCCCAAATTGGCCGTGAGTTAGGGAGAGGACTCTAGAGTGGGAAAGCTGTACCCAAAACTTCCCTAATCTGACTATCAAGCCTAAAAAATTAAACTTTCAATTCAACATCCCTTGTTTCTCCAACTTGGAGTGCCTGATGGTGTGGGAAGCCCCTACTCATAAAAATTCATAGTTGAAGATTGTTGGTAATTTTGCCCAACCTCCTTCTTTTCTTTTTATTCTACTTTAAGTTCTAGGGTACATGTGCACAACGTGCAGGTTCATTACATATGTATACATGTGACATGTTGGTGTGTTGCACCCATTAACTCGTCATTTACATTAGGTATATCCCCTAATGCTTTTCCTCCCCTAGCCCGTCACCCCACAACAGGCCCCGGTGTGTGATGTTCCCCTTCCTGTGTCCATGTGTACTCATTGTTTAATTCCCACCTATGAGTGAGAACATGTGGTGTTTGTTTTTTTGTCCTTGTGATAGTTTGCTGAGAATGATGGTTTCCAGCTTCATCCTTGTCCCTACAAAGGACATGAACTCATCATTTTTATGGCTGCATAGTATTCCATGGTGTATATGTGCCACATTTTCTTAATCCAGTCTATCATTGTTGGACATTTGGGTTGGTTCCAAGTCTTTGCTATTGTCAGTAGTTCCTCAATAAACTCCTTCTTTCTTTGCCTAGTTACACCTCAATGCAACCTGCTGGCAGGCCAGCCTTAAGCCCAGCAGTCCAACCATGCATCTAAGCTGAGTTCTCATCAGAGCCAACTTCAATTATAAACAACTGAGATGATGCCAGAGGCCAGAATCCCTGAGAACCCAATTTGCTGTCATCACCACAGCTGAAACAAGGCGCTTGGCATCTAGAAAAGCTGATCTGTAGGAAATTTCCAATAGAGTTCAAGTTTTTCTAAGTTTAAAGTGTACAATATCATCAAGGTGAGACACTCAAGATAAAACTAGGCTTGTGTTTAAATATAATAAAAATATTTGAAGAATAGTAAGAGTGGTGACTACTTTTACACAGGAATGTTTCAAATAAATTGTTTTTTTCTTGTGCCTTTTAAATTTTGTGATTTGTCAATGAGATGCTGACATGTTTTTAATGAAGCATGCCTTGTAAAATAATAAGTGAATGAAAACTACACAGTAATATTTACATCAACAAAGCTAGAAGAAGACTGTATGTCTCAAGAGGCTCCATCATCTACCCAGTGGCCACTTCACCAAATTAAGATCCAAATACCAAAAAGAAAAGTAATTAAAATTTGTGTTGTATGCCTTATAAGACCAAACCTATAAAATGAGGGGAAACTTCACAATTACTTGTAATTTGCTCTGTGGAATTGTAACAGATGGATTATAAAGATGATTCCATGATAAACATGTAAATGTGGTTACTACCTTCTGTGCTTTCTTGGTTCATATTTTTATTGTTTTTTTCTTTATAAACAGATAATTCATTCTTATCTATGGCAATGCAAACTTTTCAGATGTATTGAATATGTCATAGTGTTTTTCTATTGTAGGCATCTCTAAAAAAGTTATAGAAAACAAACAGAGAAAAGTCTGGTGTTGGAAAGGAGAGAGAAATAAAGCTTGTAAAGGAATGAAGATTAGAGCTTTCTGGAGATAAAAATTCTTAGAAGATACAAAAGCTAGTTACTGAATTAGATGAAGGTTCTTTTTCAGTTTTTCCCAGTTGTTCACCTCTTAGAAGGCACATATTCACAGCAGAAAAGAAAAATGTGTTAAAAAGAAAATACCTCGGTGTAGTGAGACTGTAATTTCATGAGGGCATTACTGAAGACTCACTTTTTCCAGCATCACTCAGCATGGTATTATGCATGTGTGTAATGTAAAGGAAAGTGAATACGCATTCTTGGATGGGTGATCAAATCGTAATTCCAGAATATAATCAGAAGCTGATTCATTATCCTCTTGAGATTTCACAATCTTTTCATCAGGAATTAAAATTCAGAAGAGGGTAAATGTATCTAATCAGTTGAAAGTTAAAAATTAGAGGATGGAGGCAACATGGCCGAATAGGAACAGCTCCAGTCTACAGCTGCCAGCGTGAGTGATGCAGAAGACAGGTGATATCTGCATTTCCAACTGAGGTACCAGGTTCATCTCACTGGGGAGTGCTGGACAGTGGGTGCAGCGCACCATGCATGAGCCAAAGCAGGGAAAGGCATCACCTCACCTGGGAAGCAGAATGGGTCAGAGAATTCCCTTTCCTAGTCAAAGAAAGGGGTGACAGATGGCACCTGGAAAATCAGGTCACTCCCACCCTAATACTGCGCTTTTCCAACAGGCTTATCAAATGGCACACCAGGAGATTGTATCCAGCACCTGGCTTGGAGGATCCTACACCCACGGAGCCTCACTGTTTGCTAGCACAGCAGTCTGAGATCAAACTGCAAGGTTACAGTGGGGCTGGGGGAGGGGCTCCCGCCATTGCTCAGGCTTGAGTAAGTAAACAAAGCAGCCAGGAAGTTCGAACTGGGTGGAGCCTAACACAGCTCAAGGAGGCCAGCCTGCCTCTGTAGGCTCCACCTCTGGGGGCAGGACACAGACAAACAAAAGACAGCAATACCCTCTGCAGACTTAAATATCCCTGTCTGACAGCTTTGAAGAGAGTAGTGGTTCTCCCAGCATGCAGCTTGAGATCTGAGAATGGGCAGACAGCCTCCTCATGTGGGTTCCTGACCCCTGAGTAGCCTAACTGGGAGGCACCCCCCAGTAGAGGCAGACTGACATCTCACATGGCCGGGTACCCCTCTGAGTCAAAACTTCCAGAGGAACGATCAGGCAGCAGCATTTGCAGTTCACCAATATCCACTGTTCTGCAGCCACCGCTGCTGATACCCAGGCAAATAGTGTCTGGAGTAGACCTCCAGTAAACTCCAACAGACCTGCAGCTGAGGGCCCTGACTGTTAGAAGGAAAACTAACAAACAGAAAGGACATCCACACCAAAACCCCATCTGTATGTCACCATCATCAAGGACCAAAGGAAGATAAAACCACAAAGATGGGAAAAAACAGAGTAGAAAACCTGGAAACTCTAAAAATCAGAGTGCCTCTCCTCCTGCAAAGGAATGCAGCTCCTCACCAGCAATGGAACAAAGCTGGACGGAGTATGACTTTGACGAGTTGAGAGAGAAAGGCTTCAGAAGATCAAAGTACTCCGAGCTAAAGGAGGAAGTTCGAACCAGTGGCAAAGAAGTTAAAAACTTTGAAAAAAAATTAGACGAATGGATAACTAGAATAACAAATGCAGAGAAGTCCTTAAAGGACCTGATGGAGCTGAAAACCATGGCACAAGAACTACATGACAAATGCATAAGCCTCAGTAACCGATGTGATCAACTGGAAGAAAGAGTATCAGCGATGGAAAACGAAATGAATGAAATAAAGCATGAAGAGAAGTTTAGAGGAAAAGGAATAGAAGAAATGAACAAAGCCTCCAAGAAATATGGGACTATGTGAAAAGACCAAATGTATGTCTAATTGGTGTACCTGAAAGTGACGGGGAGAATGGAACCAAGTTGGAAAACACTCTGCAGGATATTATCCAGGAGAACTTCCCCAATCTAGTAAGGCAGGCCAACATACAAATTCAGGAAATACAGAGAATGCCACAAAGATACTCCTCGAGAAGAACAACTCCAAGACACATAATTGTCAGATTCACCAAAGTTGAAATGAATGAAAAAATTTTAAAGGCTGCCAAGAGAAAGGTCAGGTTACCCACAAAAGGAAGCCCATCAGACAATCTGCTGATCTCTCCTCAGAAACTCTACAAGCCAGAAGAGAGTGGGGGCCAATATTCAACATTCTTAAAGAAAATAATTTTCAACCCAGAATTTCATATTCAGGTAAACTAGGCTTCATAAGTGAAGGAGAAATAATATACTCCACAGACAAGCAAATGCTGAGAGATTTTGTCACCACCAGGCCTGCCCTAAAAGAGCTCCTGAAGGAAGCACTAAACATGGAAAGGAACAACTGGTACCAGCCACTGCAAAAACATGTCAAATTGTAAAGACCATCAAGGCTAGGAAGAAACTGCATCAACTAACGAGGAAAATAACCAGCTAACATCATAATGACAGGATCAAATTCACACATAACAATACTAAGCTTAAATGTAAATGGGTTAAATGCTCCAATTAAAAGGCACAGACTGGCAAATTGGATAAAGAGTCAAGACCCATCAGTGTGCTGTATTCAGGAAACCCTTCTCACCTGCAGAGACACACATAGGCTCAAAATAAAGGGATGGAGGAAGATCTACCAAGCAAATGGAAAACAAAAAAAGGCAGGGGTTGCAATCCTAGTCTCTGATAAAACAGACTTTAAACCACCAAAGATCAAAAGAGACAAAGAAGGCCATTACATAATGGTAAAGGGATCAATTCAACAAGAACTAACTATCCTAAATATATATGCACACAATACAGAAGCACCCAGATTCATAAAGCAAGTCCTTAGTGATCTACAAAGTGACTTAGACGCCCACAAAATAATAATGGGAGACTTTAACACCCCACTGTCAACATTAGACAGATCAACGAGACAGAAAATTAACAAGGATATACAGGAATTGAACTCAGCTCTGCACCAAGCAGACCTAATAGACATCTACAGAACTCTCTATCCCAAATCAATGGAATATGTATTCTTTTCAGCACCACACCACACCTATTCCAAAATTGACCACATAGTTGGAAGTAAAGCACTCCTCAGCAAATGTAAAAGAACAGAAAGTATAACAAACTGTCTCTCAGACCACAGTGCAATCAAACTACAACTCAGGATTAAGAAACTCACTCGAAACCACTCAACTACATGGAAACTGAACAACCTGCTCCTGAATGACTACTGGGTACATAAGGAAATGAAGGCAGAAATAAAGATGTTCTTTGAAACCAACAAGAACAAAGACACAACATACCGGAACCTCTGGGACACATTCAAAGCAGTGTGAAGAGGGAAATTTACAGCACTAAATGCCCACAAGAGAAAGCAGGAAAGAAATAAAATTGACATCTTAACATCACAATAAAAAGAACTAGAGAAGCAAGAGCAAACACATTCAAAAGCTAGCAGAAGGCAAGAAGTAACTAAGATCAGAGCAGAACTGAAGGAAATAGAGACACAAAAAACCCTTCAAAAAATCAATGAATACAGAAGCTGTTTTTTGAAAAGATCAACAAAATTGACAGACCACTAGCAAAACCAATAAAGAAGAAAAGAGAGAAGAATCAAATAGATGCAATAAAAATTGACAAAGGGGATATCACCACCAACTCCACAGAAATACAAACTACAATCAGAGAATACTATTAACACCTCTACACAAATAAACTAGAAAATCTAGAAGAAATGGATAAATTCCTTGACACATATACTCTCTCAAGACTAAACCAGGAAGAAGTTGAACCTCTGAATAGACAAATAACACTCTCTGAAATTGAGGCAATAATTAATAGCTTACCAACCAAAAAAAGTCCAGGACCAGATGGATTCAAAGCCGAATTCTACCAGTGGTACAAGGAGGAACTGGTACAATTCCTTCTGAAACTATTCCAATCAATAGAAAAAGAAGGAATCCTCCCTAACTCATTTTATGAGGCCAGCATCATCCTGATACCAAAGCCTGGCAGAAACAAAACAAAAAAAGGAGAATTTTAAACCAATATCCTTGATGAACATTGATGCAAAAATCCTCAATAAAATACTGGCAAACCAAATCCAGCAGCACATCAAAAAGCTTATCCACCATGATCAAGCGGGTTTCATCCCTGGGATGCAAGGCTGGTTCAACATATGAAAATCGGTCAACGTAATCCAGCGTATAAACAGGACCAAAGACAAAAAACACATGATTATCTCAATAGATGCAGAAAAGGCCTTTGACAAAATTCAGCAAACCTTCATGCTAAAAACTCTCAATAAATTAGGGATTGATAGGATGTATCTCAAAATAATAAGAGCTATCTATGACAAACCCACAGCCAATATCATACTGAATGGGCAAAAACTGGAAGCATTCCCTTTGAAAACTGGCACAAGACAGGGATGCCCTCTCTCACCACTCCTATTCAACATAGTGTTGGAAGTTCTGGCCAGGGCAATCAGGAAGGAGAAGGAAATAAAGGGCATTCAATTAGGAAAAGAGGAAGTCAAATTGTCCCTGTTTGCAGATGACATGACTGTGTATGTGGAAAACCCCATCGTCTCAGCCCAAAATCTCCTTAAGCTAATAAGCAACTTCAGCAATGTCTCAGGATACAAAATCAATGTGCAAAAATCACAAGCATTCTTATACACCAATAACAGACAAACAGGGAGCCAAATCATGAGTGAACTCCCATTCACAATTGCTTCAAAGAAAATAAAATACCTAGGAATACCACTTACAAGGGAAGTGAAGGATCTCTTCAAGGAGAACTACAAACAACTGCTTAATGAAATAAAAAAGGATACAAACAAATGGAAGAACATGCCATGTTCATGGGTAGGAAGAATCAATATCGTGAAAATGGCCATACTGCCCAAGGTAATTTATAGATTCAATTCCATCTCCATCAAGCTACCAATGACTTTGTTCACAGAATTGGAAAAAAACTACTTTAAAGTTCATATGGAACCAAAAAGAGCCCACATTGCCAAGTCAATCCTAAGCCAAAAGAACAAAGGTGGAGGCATCATGCTACCTGACTTCAAACTATACTACAAGGCTACAGTAACCAAAACAGCATAGTACTAGTACCAAAACAGAGATATAGACCAATGGAACAGGACAGAGCCCTCAGAAATAATGCCACATATCTACAACTATCTGATCTTTGACAAACCTGACAAAAACAAGAACTAGGGAAAGGATACCCTATTTAATAAATGGTGCTGGGAAAACTGGCTAGCCATATGTAGAAAGCTGAAACTGGATCCCTTCCTTACACCTTATACAAAAATTAATTCACGATGGATTAAAGACTTACATGTTAGACCTAAAACCATAAAAACCCTAGAAGAAAAACCAGGCAATACCATTCAGGACATAGGCATTGGCAGAGACTTCATGTCTAAAACACCAAAAGCAATGGCAACAAAAGCCAAAATTGACAAATGGGATCTAATTAAACTAAGGAGGTTCTGCACAGCAAAAGAAACCACCATCAGAGTGAACAGGCCACCTACAGTATGGGAGAAAAGTTTTGCGACCTCCTTATCTGACAAAGGGCTAATATCCAGAATCTACAATGAACTCAAACAAATTCACAAGAAAAAAACAAACAACCCCATCAAAATGTGGGCAAAGGAAATGAACAGACACTTCTCAAAAGAAGACATTTTGCAGCCAAAAGACACATGAAAAAATGCTCATCATCACTGGCCATCAGAGAAATGCATATCAAAACCACAATGAGATACCATCTCACACCAGTTAGAATGGCCATCATTAAAAAGTCAGGAAACAACAGGTGCTGGAGAGGATGTGGAGAAATAGGAACACTTTTACACTGTTGGTGGGACTGTAAACTAGTTCAACCATTGTGGAACTCGGTGTGGTGATTCCTCAGGGATCTAGAACTAGAAATACCATTTGACCCAGCCATCCCATTGCTGGGTATATACCCAAAGGATTAAAATCATGCTGCTATAAAGACACAAGCACATGTATGTTTATTGTGGCACTATTCACAATAGCAAAGACTTGGAGCCAACACAAATGTCCAACAATGATACATTGGATTAAGAAAACGTGGCACATATAAAACATGGAATACCATGCAGCCATAAAAAATGTTGAGTTCATGTCCCTTGTAGGGACATGGATGAAGCTAGAAACCATCATTCTCAGCAAACTATTGCAAGGAAAAAAACCAAACACCACATGTTCTCACTCATAGGTGGGAATTGAACAATGAGAAAACATGGATGCAGGAAGGGGAACATCACACACTGGGGACAGTTGTGGGGTGGGGGGAGGGGGGAAGGATAGCATTAGGAGATATACCTAATGTTAAATGACGAGTTAATGGGTACAGCACACCAACCTGGCCCATGTATACATATCTAACAAACCTGCACGTTGTGCACATGTACCCTAAAACTTAAAATATAATAATAAAAAAAATTAACAGGAGACTTTTATACAGATAAATTTGCTTTGCATCATGATCAGCACTAAAGAGCATCATAGATTTAAACCATATTTTCACAGTTAAAACAATGTAACCAAATATGCAATATATTATGTAACATTCTACAAGATGTTTTCAAACATGCAAACTGACCTTTAAAACAATTTTGCATAAAATAACATTTCTAGGTAAGAGAAAATACAGACATGTGGTTAGGGCAAAATATTTCTGTTCAAATTACAAAATACTGAATGACAAATCACAGGATAGAAAAGAATTATATTGTACCTGGAATTTGAAGTCTTCAAATTTATTTAGATATACGTATCTATATGTATTAATAGAGACATATTTAACTGATTATAAGTTTAGAACATTTATATTTTAAAGATGTCATTCTTTAAAAATTATTAATATCTACAGGATTGATACAGATATTTTAATTTTAAACAAATATTTTTCACTAATGTGACCAGTATTTATGTCCTATTTCATTAAACAGACATTTCAAGATTTTTTAGAGTTAATTTTTAAAAATTAAGTATCACAAATATTTCTGAAGTACTACCTTAAAAAATAAAACTCTTTCCTAGCTTTTCATATAGTTAAACATTTTCATAATGACTAAAAAGATAAAAATAAATTAGCAACCATAATTAAATTAGAATTCTACTTTTTATATCAGATGAAATACTACATAAAATGTCCAGAAAATCTAGTGTTAATGAGGCTGTGCAGCCTGGACATTTGATGTCTCATCTGTGGGAATGTGAACTAACCCAACCATTCTGAATAATTATTGACTCTGTGTGTTAACAGTCTAGAGTCCTGAAACAAGGATCTTAATTCTAAAATAAAATCCTATTCTAAGAATATACCAAGGGTTGATAATCAAGGAAGTTTCAAAGTTATAGAGAAGAACCTTCATCCTAGCATTATATATGTAATCATCCATATAAACCACATAGTGTTGAATGAAATTACAGAAAAACAAAGAGCCTACAGAATATGTTTCTCTTTGTGTACAACAGTAAATGTACACATCTATCCATGTAAAATTTTACATCTCAGGAAGATAGGTACCAACATGTTAACATGCTATATCTATAAGATAAGAAATTTTACTTTCCTACAATTTCATACACACACACACTCTCAAACATACATACCCACACACCGAGGATATATACACACACAAATATATATATAAACATACATGTTTATATAGGTACACACACACATACATATACACAGATGGTCAACAAATTATAATGGTTCAATTTATGATTTTTTTTACTTTATGATGAAGCAAAAGTGATAGCTTTGAATAGAATATAACCATTCTGCTTTTCACTTTCAGTACAATATTCAACAAATTACATAAAATATCCAAAACTTTATTATAAAGTGGGTTTTGTATTCAATGATTTTGCCCAATTGTCAGCTGATGTAAGTGTTCTGAGCACATTAAAGGTATGCCAGGCTAAGCTGTGATATTCAGTAAGTTAGGTATTAAATACATTTTTAACTTACTGTATTTTCAATTTATAATCAGCTTATCAAGACTTAACCCCATTGTACATTGAAAAGCATTTGTATTGCATTAAACATGTTATATATATTTTTAATTGAAATTACTGGCAACTTTTGAAAAAATGTAATGAAATAATGTGCTTTGCTATTGGTTAAAGTGTTTTTGGGCAGGGTCAGTGGCTTACACCTGTAATCCCAGCACTTTGGTAGGCTGAGGTGGGCAGATCGCTTGAGGTCAGGAGTTTGAGACCAGCCTGGCAAACAGGGTGAAACCCCATCTCTACTAAAAATACAAAAATCATCTGAGTGTGGTGGCATGTGCCTGTATTCCCAGCTACTAGGGAGGCTGAGGTGTGAGAATTGCTTGAACTAGGCAAGCAGAGGTTGCAGTGAGCCAAGATCAAGCCACTGCACTCCAGCCTGGGCAACTGAGTAAGATTCTGTCAAAAAAAAAAAAAAAAGAAGGAAAGAAAAGAAAAAAAGTTTTCAGCTTCAAGTAACAGAATAGTCAACTAATTAAAGAAAAAAACAAGGAGCAACTTTTACCAAATCGCACAACAAATAGATGGTATCAATGCTTACTTAATTCAACATGATCCACTTTGTGATTCTCTTATCTTTCTACCTATGTTTTCAAGATGGCTATGGCATTCCCAGCCTTACAACTTCATGTGACAAAATCCAATGGCAGGAAATAATAAGTGACGGCATTTTGGAACTTTAAGGAAAAACTTTAAGGATTGGAAAACAGGGATGCCATATGTCCAGTAACATGGGATAGCCGTTCCTAATTAAGGATTGCTGTATGTCCTGAATGACTTTCTAATGTAATGAAGGTGAATAACCTGCTTTGTTTAATTATACAATCCCAAATGTAACTGCCTAAGTGCCAAGTACTTTTGCATGGTTTTAATATGCCATGAATTTTGCAAGAATGAAACTACTATGTATATGAGAAAAGATGGTAGATTTTTTCATTTAGATACTCATTTCAGAGTCTCAATAGGAAAAACAGAACACACTCAAACTAAGATAATTTAACATGGGTTTATTTCCAAAGAGACTACTTACGAAAATGTCAGGGGAGAAGGGTGAAGGAATCACAGAAATCACACCCCACAATAACTCTGGGTTAGTAGCAGCAGGCAGAGTTCTGGGGAGTAAACTTCCCTGATCACGCAAGGAAACACTAATTTTCTTATGAAAAAGATTGGTCAAGGAGACCTAGCAGAGAGGGAGTTTAGGCAATAACCCCCAATCCCATTTCCTCCTTCCCTTTAATCTCATGAACATGCATAGAAGGCAATGAGCAAGGGAACAGATTGAGATATTCAACATGGACCATTCCACTTGGACAAAAGCCAGTAAATAGGGGAGTATAACAGGGGACAAGGGCCAAACAGAAAGTATCTATTACATTTACCAATGCAGATCAATCATGTCAAAAACAGAAATGGCAGTTTTGGCATTTGGTTATTCAATGAAACTATATTTGTAGTTTTTTATTTACAATGTTTCAAGGTATGGGCGAAGATATGAAAATATCATTATGTTCTATTTTATTTGATATGTAAATGTTCTGGCACAATTATATACATTTTGGATCATATATTGACAGTAAATTATTTCTCCTTTGTTAGCTTCAGCATAACATTAATATTTTCAACAACTTGAATGCATACATTGTGTTCTCACTAATAGTTTAGAATAGTGAAGGGGTCTTTGAAGAATTTCTTATGAAGTAGAGGCATTGGGTCAGACAGAGACGAAAACCATTGGCTTAGATTAATCACTATTTATCCTAGGGCTGAAGAGGGCCAATTGAAGACACAAATGTCCAATCCCTTTATGACCTTGGAGTTCTATGAACCAGAGAAATAGAGACTGGTTCTTAAGGAGGTAATAAGTGTGCCTTCTATGGTTTATAATAATATGCATTGTCTTAACAATCGAATACTTAAAAGTTAATGCCCTCATAATATGCAAAATTTTTAATAAGCACATTGGTCCCTGTGTTCAAGTAGTTGGTAATCAAATTAGCGAAGTATGGTAAGTCTTTTGAAGAGCATTAAACAGCAGAGAATGTAAGAAATTTGTCTCTATAATAGTGTGGGCCTTCTGTGTTTCCTAAGGGCACATTCATATGATCTAATAACTGAGCAGAGAGAAGCCTAAAGGATAGTTTTTGGTTTCATTTGTTTGTTTTTCCAATTAACATACATTTCTAGATTAAAGGTCAACTATCTTTTCCTTGGGAGTCAACTATAGGAGAAGATAGTGAAGAGGCAAGGAAAATTACAGCAGCTCAACAGCTTTACCCTGGAAATATCTGTATTGTGTACCGCTATAGCCTACCTTTATCAGTCAGATAACAATGTCAAAGAGGCAAGCTTGGCACCATTGCTCTTAGTGAATCCCTGCTGCCAGCCTTTTATCCTAAGTGCTCTCCAAAGACCCATTTAATGGACCTTCCTGAAATTGTGCTCAGGATCAATATGAGGCTCATTGATACAGCATTTTTGGAACTCACCATTTGCTTATTTATTAAACCTGGGATAGTTGCCCGACTTCTATCATCTGAAATCCTCTCCATGACTTTCAAAGTTACCAACATTGGTTCCAACATCATTCCTAGAAAACATTTCAGTGGAGTATATTTATCTGACATTTGACTGTATTTATAGCAGTAAGAATCTATGATGATTCCTCCCAAAATAATCCCACAATTACACATTTTGGGTCACCTTGAGGGTCTTATCCTTAATATCAGAGATCTGTTCTATACATTTGAGTCTTAGAAATAATTACTAGCTTCTCTCTGAATTTAACTGAGGTTCCTTACTTTTATTCAGCCTGTTACCTAAATTACATAATGTATTGAAGGCTATAAACTGTCCAAATTTCTGATTACATTGAGTTAAAAATGGGAATATGACTTTCTTTTTCTAACTTGGCAAAGATTATGTTTTTTTTCATGAAGAAATATAGGCATATTTAAACACTCAGGATCTGAGAATTTGAAATACATGAAACTTAGCAAGTGGTCTTTAAGTAGTTTTCATTTCTAAATTATAGTACATACCATTGAATGCTACAGAAGGAAAGACAATGAGGGATTACTCATAAACATTGCCTTTATGATATCCTTCCAAAGAAAACCAAGTGTCCCTGTGCTTGGACTCATAAAGCAGAAATGCTTACCTTGCTTTTATGTCACTAACAAACAATTGTGCCTAGTCATTTAATTCTAACGCATTTAAGCCATCTAGAGAGTGGAGCCCCTAGGGAAAACTACAAATGGAAAATTCATTGATTTTTGATTTTGCTTTCCTATGGATTAAATTTAACACTTTCTTGTAAATCTCTCCCTTTACAGATCATATGTGATAAATAGTTATCCAACTTTCTAGATGTCCACCCAGAGCTGCTTCCATATGAAGAGGTGGAAACGGATTCTGTGCATGATACTGGTTAGGATCGGGAACTGTTTTTTTTTAAAGGAGATTTTTAAAATTTGTTTTCCTTGTACACATAGCCTTAATATTGTGTTGCTAACTGCCCTCTGGGAACAAAGTCATACCAATCACAAATACATTGCCTAAAGTGGGATGGTTATTACTCTGCTGTGAATTGCACCTCCTATTATGTTTTAAAGATGCTACAAACTTGAGACATTACTATGTAGATGACATTCCCAGCAAATCCCCAAACAACACTTAATGAGATTTCAAATACCAGGATCATGAAACAGTAAGAGATATAAGGAAATAAAGAAAAACACAGTATATGTGTAGAAGGCATTAAAACACAAATTTTATAATTACGAATGCATATAATAAGGAACAAGTTTTATTCTAAATAGCAATTATATCAGAACTACGATACAGGGAATAAAAGTGAATATTAAGCCATTGTACCAACAATAACAGAGCCCCTTTTCTGCTGCGTGATGGAATTTAGTGTTTACTAAGGAAGAAAAAAATGCAAGATATCTTAAATTTGGTACTTTCCAACAAATTTAAGAAATGTGTACACACTTGAGGAGACTTAAGAAGTCTCTGACTAAAACACTAGAAAAGAAAAGCAGTGAAAAACCAAATAAGTATTACTCAACAATAACAACATTTGTTACTATTATATTAATATTAAACACACTATTAAGCAACAACATTTCAGTTACTCACTGAGCCCAAAGTCATTTTTCATGAACCATTCACAACACTGATAACCTATTGAAAAATGATTGAAAACAAAAAAGCTTATTTCTTTCCAAGTCCTTTTAAAGCCTTCTCTTGTGTCATTTCATATAATCCTTATAACAAATCTATGGAGTATATACTGACTTTATCTCTGTACAGAAAAGAAAACTGAATCACATTCAGAATAAGTTGCAAAGATCCCCAGATAATCAGTGTCATAGGTGAAATATGATGTCACAGTGTACTCAAGAGTAATTTAGGGAAGCAGTACAAATGATGGTTGAAAGCACAGGTTCTGGGATAAATAGCCTGAAGTCAAAATCTAGTTCATATCCTCAGTGGCTGTGTGATCTTGGGAAATTTCCCTTAACTCTCTGTGTCTTGATTTTATAGTTTCATCCATTTTTGCCTCTCATATGATCTGGTGAGCGTTACACTAGTTTATGCTTCTAGGACACTGAAAACAGTGCCTGGCTCTTGATAAATATTAACAATTTTGTTTCATTTTCTTCACCTTGAGTATTTCATGGCCAGATGGAAATCAATGTCAATATGAAAAAATGTTCATAATTCAGCAGGAAGAAATACAAAACCATATAAACAACTTTGTTTTATTGGCAAGTGTATTTGGAAGCTATGTTAAATTGAGAAGGGGAAGGGAAAGCCTCTAAGGATATCGATTAATCAATGACTGAAAGCTGATGAGACTTGTCTGGAATTTTTTTTTGGAGACTCTGAGACTTAAAATTTTGACAAAATAAGGAGATGAATTGAGTAGTGTGGAAGAGACATTTTCTGAAGTCAGCAGAGAAAGGAGAGACAAATATGGTAAGGGGAAAATGGTATGAAGTAATAATATGAATGAAGTGCTTTCTAAAGTATAACACATGTAAGTTGTGTTAAATGTAAACTATCATGATTATATCATTACTGTCTGACTGATACAACTATATCCACCTCAGTTAGCCACATAAGATCAATTTTCCTATATCTTAGAGAATACCAGTAACCTCCAGTTCAGAAACAGCATAAATATCTATCCACAGCTGAGCAGACACATACAGCTAGCTACCAGATGAAATGGGCTATATCTTCAAATACTATTGTTTTCCATTTTTTAACTGTGGCAAAACACACTCAACAATTTGCATCTTAACCACTGTTAAGTATACAATTCAGTGTCATTAAATGTATTCACAATGTTGTGCAAGCATCACCACCACCCATCTCCATAATTCTTTTTGTCTTGTAAAATTGAAATCCTGTATCCATTAAAAAGTGACTCCCCATTCCCCGCCCTCCCAGGGCAACTACAGCTTTACTTTCTGTCTTGATGAATCATACAATATCAAATGGAATTTTTAAGATATTTAAAATCTTTTGTCTGGAAGCGAAGTGGAAGTTAATATCAATGGCTATGCCTTCAGTGAGTTCTCAGACCACATTGCAATGTAGTTAACTATTTATCTTTTATTACGTTCTAGACCTATTATTTCTTTCTGGCACAAAAATATCTTCTTTGTAGATTATGGCATTTACCTCTATCTCCACACCTTTCTGCGTCTGTCATCCACAGATCATCAGCCTCTTGCTTAGTCTCCATTTAATGACAATTTCTATTTAGTATACAAGAGTCCTTCCCCCCGCAATGCAATTTCTTCACTCTGAAAAGCTCTGACTCTGGCTACTGGTCTCTGTTATGTACTCATCCCTAGAGCCATGTCTTCAAATATTTCTCAGAACTTCTTCACATCTAAAAATCTAGGATTAATGTATTGCTCTCTGATTATATTCTTCTGGTATTTCAAGTATCCTGTATAACTTCTTCATCTGCCCTTGCTTTTCTTCTACATCAAGATGTCAAGTTCATGGACTTCCCAATTAATCATTTTAAAAATTTATTTCAAGCCTTTATGAGTCACTACAATGTACATATGTTCTCAGGAATTATGACCCTACAATTTGTATATGAGAATAGTTCCTGTGTCAGGCATTATGGACATAAGAGTAAATAAATTCTAGCCCCTGCCTACAAGGAGCTAATTCCCAGCCTAAGACAGATTGTAAGCCAATAATATGCAGAGTTGTAAGTCTAAGGAAACTGATTGGGATGTACCTAATTCGAGCTGGGAATATCAGAAGAAAAACTTTTTGAAAGTCATGAGACATGAGCTGTGCCTAAAAGAATAAAAATAGAGTGAGAAATAAGAATAAATAAATTAGGGAATGAGATGGGTATAATAGTAGAAAAAGGAAATCTCTTTAGATAAAACAGGGTATGAGAGTATATAGGAGGCTTATTAACTCAGTGTGGTTGGAGAAAACAGGTTGAAAGGAGAAATAGGGGAGAAAGTTACAAACGGAATCAAATGTGTTAGTAGTTGAGGGAAAAGCAAATATTGAATACGACCCATAGATCTTGGATAAACCAGTGTTTGGTAGTAGCTTACATAAAAGGTTGTGACAAAATAACCAGAGATATGTGGAGAAAATAATAACTGAGTGTTATATTTCCTCTCAGTAGAAACCTAAAAAAAAAAATGTAATCACATACTGATCTTTTAACTGACCTCCACTTATCTTGCTGCCTGGATTGGTATATATAGTCCTCTGCCTGAAAAATTGCTCAACACTTTTGAAAGGTTGTTTCTCACTGTTACTCCCAGGCATTTCTGCTAACACCAGCTGAGTTGTAAGGGGCCCTCCAGGAGGCCTAGGTTGTTCTCCTTATCACATATATTATTTTCATTTATCAATTTACCCAGAACATCTAATGAAATATTATGGACACCAATAACATGAATACAAATACAGCTATAGTCCCTAAAAAGTAAATTGATGTCTCTTGAAAGACTGTCATGTCTTAGATGCTAAATTTGGAGTATGTGTTTCTAATAAATAAATAGCTTGCTTTAATAATTCTGATTTATGAATGTAATATAGGGGAGCAGCTTTTATTTCATCCTTAATCTTAAAAAACAATTAGCCGGGTGTGGTGGCGGGCACCTGTAGTCCCAGCTACTCAGGAGGCTGAAGCAGAAGGATGGTGTGCACCTGGGAGGCGGAGCTTGCTGTAAGCCAAAATTGTGCCACTGCACTCCAGCCTGAGTGACAGTGTGAGACTCTGTCTCAAAAAAAAAAAAAGATCATACAAGGAGTAAATGATGATTTAGCATAAAACACAACTTGAGCCTAAAACACAGATCATAGGGCTCAAACTTTGTTATTTTATGGGATTATACTAACCAGTTAATATTCAAAATTTACCATTTCAAAAGAAGAAATATTGGTCTGGGAAAATTGCCATTGCTTATACAGAAGAATGGAGGAATCTTTTTGAGAACAACAATTCTAATGATCTTCTTCATCACTGGTTCCAAAACCAAGCCCATGGAAGGCCTGCATAGGGATAATGTGGAGAACATGCAAAAGAAATACACATCACCAGCTCCTCAACTCAGAGCTCCAAGGGAATGGCCAAGGAAGCTGTATTGTCCTAAGAAATTTGAGACTGTTTTGACTTACAATAAATCCTGCTCAATCATATGTATGTATACACACACACACACACACACACACACACACACACACACAGAGAGAGACGGTGTTGTCAGTGAAGCCTCTAACATTGCATCTTGACTGGACAGATTTGACAATTAAAATGGCTGGAAGAAAATAGGTTTCATAAGTGTCACTTACTATTCACATTACACATTAAAAGGACATCTCCTAAATTAAATCTTGTCTATGATAAAAAGGCAGAAAATCATGACCCAAGGCTCATTTATAACTGCAGAAATGTTCAAGATAGACCAATGCTTGCTATGTTTAGGAAGTGACAAGAAAGTACAGGTCTTTATAATCTACCATTTTGCCCCTTTTGATACCAGGTGACCTTCATAATGCAGGCTATAGAGAATTACAAGATTTGTCAGAGATTTCAGGTCTTTGGAAAGCTATGCTCTTTCACAAGAACAGCCATGGAAACAGGAAGAAAGTCAATTCCCACTTAAGGTAATCAGAATTTACAAATATTCCTTTCTTCATTGAAATCTCAATAGGCACTTCGATATTATATTTAATTAATTCTTTTGTTACAATCATGCATCACATAACAACATTTTGGTCAAGGATAGTGCACTTGTATGACAGTGGTGCAATAAAATCATAACACTGTATTTGTACTGTACCTCTTGTATGTTTAGACATGTATAGATACACTTACTGTATAGATATAAGTAAGTATAGATATACTTGACTGTTGTGTTACAATTGCCTACAGTATTCAGTACAGTAATATGCTGCACAGGTTTGTAGCCTAGGAGGAATAGGCTATACCACCTAACCTAGGTATGTAATCAGCTATAGCATCTAGGTTTGTGTAAGTAAACTCTGTGATGTTCATACAATAATAAAATTGTCCAGCAATGCATTTCTCAGACACACCCCTGTCATTAAGTGACACATGACTGTATTAGTTAACACTATGGGAACTTCATGGGAAATGGAAACTCTAGCTCCACCATAAATAGAAACTGTTTATGTCAAAAAACACATAAAAGCATAGTTGCAAGATTACAATTCCTTCCAGATATTTCATTTAGTACCTCCACAGATCATTAACTTCCTGAATAGCATTCTTGTGTTTCCACTGCCTCACATTTGATTTCAGGTCATTCCATCAATTGTCAAAGATGCATCCAACATTAACTTTCCAACTACTGGTTTGGATTGTGTCAACATTGTCATTCTGGGCCACAACAACACAAAAGGCTAACTCAGTGAGGTAACATAGACACTGATCAGTGAGATTTTGCTGATGGGTGGTACCATTTTTTACCAAGATCAAGGGTATTCATACCTTCAGGCATCTAGATAACATTGAAAAGGGCAGGTTCATAGATAAAAAGGGAAAGAGGAAGGGTTTTTGCAGTATATATGAGCTACCATGTCTCCTGTTTAACCTGAGTCTGAAGAGATTCAAAGTGCAGGTGCCATGAATGCCTCTTTAATAGCTCCATGTCGATTGATTTTCTGGGCTACACTTCACAGCATTCAAATTGCTAAATGCATATAAACTACTAGTGGATATTTATTACCTGGATTTGTGCTTCTGAGTGACCTTATCTATAGTTATGTGCTTCAGTGATCCAACTTGGGGTGCACTCCAAACTTTGATAAATTAAAGACCCTGCATATTCCTTGAGTAATGCTACACTGACAACTGATTTAGTGAATGCCACTGTGAAAATAATAAACCTCTTGGTGAATATATTTAGACATGTCTTGGAACCTGTACACATCTTAACCAGGGATGTTACTTGGTCTTTTTATGTTCAGGAGTGTCTGGAGATAGAAAAACATACAGGATTGTAATTGTTGCCTGTGAGACTAACAGAAAATTCAAGCTAGTGAAGTATGTTTATGCATGGCACACTTCTCACCAGCAATTTTAGGAAGTTCTACCCACAACCCATATGTCTTTTGATATGTGGGTTACCTTGGAGAGAGAAAAAGAAACTCTGAACACAAGCATGAAATACTTTCGAATTTTATCTAGAGTTGGACTTGTCCAAAAGCTTTTGTATAAACTTGCTTGATGAGGAACTGTTGTCCACTGGTACCTTCACCGTACAATCCACACACAACCAAACTTCACAACTGGACACCTAAATTTGCACTTTGTTTGGTAAAGTTGAATGAAAAATGTTGTCTTTTAAGCTTATGTTCTCTTATGAAAGCTGTTATTAGATTAATTTTACTCCAAGATATGCCAGTTAGGAAATAACTTCCCATTTAATTTCACCAGCTCCCTGTGGGTGGACTAATTACTCATACATCACACTTACTCTGGTGGTGAAATGCCTCAAAAGAAGGTCTCCAGAGTGTTGCTTTACCTAGAAGGACAAGAATGAAGAGACATAAAAATCATTCATTAAGAAGGAAGAAGATTTTCCTTGCCTAGATTTTCACTTGTAGGATGCAATTAATTTTATCACTTAATATTTTGTCATGGTGGGCATTCACTTTACAAATTTGTAAGGTCAGTAGAAATGGAAACTTTTGGAAATCAAACTGTAAATGTTCTGTAGACGTTGACAGAAATAGCTATTTGGAGCTGCGCTTTTGCCAACTAGACACTCTGAGAAAATCTGTGAGAGGATATTTTCAGGAAGTCATTGAACCCCCTAAAAATCAAGTTTATTGCTTTTACCATAAATATAAATAATTTATTTACTATCAACCACTTTCAATATTCGAATAAGTAACTTTATTGTTTATTTCATTGACATGATCTACATAGACATGCAATTTATCTTCTTTTGCGATACATTCAGAAAATTTGCTGCCTGAAAAAGCCATGTTTTGAAATTACCACCTGTTTGATGATTTTTTTTTTATACTTTAAGTTTTAGGGCACATGTGCACAACGTGCAGTTTAGTTACATATGTATACATGTGCCATGTTGGTGTGCTGCACCCATTAACTCGTCATTTAGCATTAGGTATATCTCCTAATGCTATCCCTACCCCCTCCCCCCACCCCGCAACAGGCCCTGGTGTGTGATGTTCCCCTCCCTGTGTGCATGGGTTCTCATTGTTCAATTCCCACCTATGAGTGAGAACATGCAGTGTTTCATTTCCACTTAAGTATCTATCTCTATTTGTCCTTTATTTTCACTTCCATCCTAGCTCTATCCCTTGTCTCCTTCGTGTGTCTCAGGATAAGTGCCCTATAACATTTTATACTTCTGGAAACCCTTCAATATAATGTTATTACATGTAAAAATAAAAAGTCTGTTTTAGCGAACTCTTTCTGCACAAATTATCTTTTCCTAGTTCCCTATTAGACAATTTTTGTAGGCTCCATATGCTATTAATTTATATTCACTTTTAGAAGAATTTTCATCAAAAGCAAAAGTCTTATGTAAATTGTTTATATGCTATTTGTACTTCTGTGTATATATACACGCATAGCCACATACATATATGTAACTCCAGAGGCCTGCCTGGACTGTTAAATAACTGTATTGAACAAGAGCAAGAAAAAGCTTTTCAAATTTCAAACAACAAGTTGAACTGAAGAGCTCACATCTTTGAATGAAATAGACACTAGTAGCCTTTAAAAATTAAACATTTCTACTGTTTTAAAAAATTATAGGCATCATAGTATGAGGAAAAAATGTAATAATCCTTTTTAATTCTTGCCATTTTATTAACCACGGACTCCTTATGCCCTGACTTCATTGGTACCCCTTTGAGATTAAACAGAACAATTAATTTAAAATTCTGATAAATAAATAAATTACACCATTTACTTGAGGTACTCTTTCACCTTTCAAGAAATATTTTGAGAATTCATTAGCTAAATATTGCTATAATGCAGGCTAGTAATAAATAGAAATAATGATTTCATTGTAAAGTTTAAACTAATGATGGTATGATCTGGAATTTTTGTTAACCTAGAAGACATAATTAGCTCTACAGGTGAAATGAAAGACAAAATCACTTCACATATTAGTAAAAAACAAATAATATAACTTTATAAGCTACTGCTGTTCTTTTGCTGTTAAGAACCAATGACATCTGTAATTAGGGAAGATTATGGAAAGGTTAAAGGTGAGAATACATGCAGTCTATATACAGGAAACCCAAACTGTTTAGGTTAAGGAAATGTCTGCAAAAGTCATATTAATTAGCAGGTTCACAGGAAACTAACATTTATTGTATAAATTCCATGGTCAAATGTATTAGGGCTCCACGCACACAACTGTGCGCCATCTATGTTACCACACAGTGCTTACTTCTTTCAGTCTTTATTCATTTCTCTCCTAATGGTCTGTATGGTATTATTACATAGTTCTAAAAACCTTCCATGAGGCAGAAATTTCATTTAATGATACAGCTTCAAAAATAATGAAAACCAGTAGAAACTTTCTATTTTTTTATGAAGCAGAATTATTGAATTTTCAGTTTCATTTATTTAATGTTACAAGAGGACAAACATATTTCTTTAATTTCTTCTTGTTATTTTTGTCTAACATCAACCAAAGCCATTTCTTTCATTTGAAGGTGAAAACTGCCCATCAAAATCCAGTTTAAGCTGAGAAACAAAGAACTAAATTTTGCATGAGACATTATACACTGCATAAATATAAAACAGGACCAGAAACAATGGTAGATTAGCAATTTTTAAAAAGACAAAAGCAGGTTATCATCAAATCAATTGTTACCAACACCCCAATTCCACCTCTAGGCCAGAAAATTAGCCACTTACCCACGGGAAAACAATGATTGAAGACAAAGTTCACCAGTGAAAGTTGGTTATTTTTTTCCATCCTTGCATCAACTAAAATGATATCTACAGTTCCTCTTAACACTTTTCTTACTTTCAAATATGTGGGTATGCTTCATTAGCTGAGGCCATGTTCCATATGTACATCTGGCTACAAGGGAAACTGGGAATGTGAGCCCTGATCCTAATGTTTGTAGAGTATTTAGAAGTTTGAGAATTCCCTCCAAATAAAGAGTTTTCTAAAACATTGTTAGACAAAAAGTTTGAATTACAAAATATGGTAGTAGCTCAGGTCTAAACCAAATGCAGGGAAAAAACTATTAACTCTAAAAAAATTAAATACACATTTGATGGTAATGAGAAACAGAAAACAGGCAGAAATAGTAGAATACTCCACTAATGATGAAGTATTTGACCATTGAATAAAGAAAATTGCAATGATTTAAATTTGCATCAAGGCAACTTCACACCTGATGACGCTTCCCAGTCTGTGCAAAATTAGATGTCTACGAGTAAAGCGGTGAGTTTTACTAGCTTGAGGAATAAGAGCACAGAGTTCCAGGCTGACAGAAAAGAGGAACTGGGAAATTTGAATGACATGGGAGGACATCTCACACAACTGAAAGTCACAGAGGAGAATATCACAGAGTAAAAATCTAAAATCAGCACTTCAACTTCATTCAAATATATGATGGCTGCTAAATTTCACATTCATAAAAGGAGACTCCATAGAATCCAGCAGAAAACAACAGCTAAATTGCTAGTACAGAGCAGAGATTTCAACCATTGCATATAGCTCAGGAGTGAAAGTTTGGTGTTTGACTACGGAAAGAAGACTAATGTTAGAAAAGAGTCATTCTTCAAAGGAAAATAAACAAACCTATCTCTACAAAATATCATACACATAATCTAACATATAATTTAATCTGCCTAGACATAGAACCAGGAAAATATGACACATAACAAAAAAAGTAAACAATGGATTAAGACATTGAAATGGCCCACACGCTGGAATTAGAATATAAGAAATTTAAAATAAGCTATTATAAGCATATTCAAGGATTTAAGGAATAGATGGTCATAAGAGGGAATATATGGAGAATCTCAACAGAGAAGTAAAAATGATAAAGAGATAATAGGACAAATTTTAGAACTGAGAGACAGAGTATCTTATATAAAAATGTCATTTTATGTACATACCAGTAAATTAAAGATGGCACAAAAAATTATCAGTGCACTTAAAAACAGATCAAGAACAATTTCCCAATACAGTTAATACAAACGAAGAAAAATAATAAAAATAGGGCCAGTCTAGCACTAATATAATTGGAGTCCTAGAAAGAGTAGAGAAGTAAATGAGACAGAAAAAGCTATTTGAAAAAGTAAAGACCAAAAGTTTTCCTAATTGTCAGCATATATCAACTTACAGGTTTAAGAAACTCAAAGAACAGAATAAAAATAAAGAGAACCAAATGTAGACATACCATAGTCAAACCACTGGGCAAAAAAAAGAGTAAATCTTGAAAGTAGCTAAAGGGAGGGAGAAAATAATTTACATCCGTGGAAACAAATAGACAGATGACCTATCATCAGAAATGACACTTTAAAAAGCAATGAAACTACATCTTCAAAAGAAAACTGTCAACTCCAAATTCTATAACTAGATAAAGTAATTCTTGAGAAAAGAAAGATTTATTCAGATAAAAGAAAGCTTCAAACAATTGTCATTAGCAGACCAAGATACAAGAAATGCAAACGGAAATTTTTTAGGCTAAAGAAAGATAACAACAGACGGAAATTCTGACCTACAGGAAGCAAGGAGAAGCTCTAGGAATGGCATGTGCATAAACGTGAAAAACTAAGGCTTTTTTTTTTAGTTTTATAACAAACAACTGATGCTTTGAATAAAAAATTAAGTGTACTATTGATAATGTGTGTAAAATATTCTAAATTAATAGCTCTGACAGGAGACTAAACGCAACAATTTTGCCGCAACTTTTCCTTATGTTACATGAAAACGCTGACTATTAACACTAAGTGGACTGCGATAAGCCCAGGATGTTTATTATAATCCCTAGAGAACCACCACATTATATGAAGATATTCTTCTAAAATGCCAATAAAGGAATTAAAATGGAACGCTGAATATTGTTCAGTTAATATAAAAAGGCATGAAAGAAAGAGGAGCAAAAAATGATGGAGCAAATAGAACATAAGAGCAAAATAGGCTGGGCGCAGTGGCTCAGCCTGTAATCCCAGCACTTTGGGAGGCCGAGGCGGGTGGATCACGAGGTCAGGAGATCGAGACCATCCTGGCTAACACGGTGAAACGCCGTCTCTACTAAAAATACAAAAATTAGCCGGGCATGGCGGCGGGCACCTGTAGTACCAGCTACTCCGGATGCTGAGGCAGGAAAATGGCGTGAACCCAGGAGGCAGAGCTTGCAGTGAGCCGAGATCCCGCCACTGCACTCCAGCCTGGGTGACAGGGCCAGACTCCGTCTCAAAAAAAAAAAAAAAAAAAAAATAGTAGGCTTAAATCCAACCTTTTCAGTAATTATTTCAAATGTAATTTAAATACTCCAAATAAAACACAGATTGTCAAACTGGATAATAAAAGTACCTATAAGAGATGCATGCCAAATATTATGGTATAGATAAGTTGAGAGTAAAATAATTTCCAAGTATACCAAGGAAACAACAAGGACAAGAAATCTTATGTGGCTATATTAATATAAGAAAAAGTAGACCTCCAAACGAGCAATATTACAACAGACAGCTATTTCATAATGACAAAATGTCAAGTAATTATGAAGACATAATGCTGTATTGCTGACAGAATAACTAAAGAAAATTAAGATAAAATAATTTTGACAACAGCTTGACCTAATCGATATTGACCAAGACAATAGAATATATGTTCTATTATGCTACACATGAAACATTTATCAATAGGCTATAGACCACAAAATATCTCTCAAGAAGTTTCAAAACACTGTAATCATGGAAAGTATGCTTTCTGACCATAATGAAAATGAGTTGAAATGGGTAAAAACAAGCTACCCAGGAAAGTCTACACTATTGGAAGATTTAAATACACCTTAAAATGCCCTTTAGCTCAATGAAGAAATCATAAGAAACACCTTTAAATACATTGAACTGAATACAAATAAAAATATACTATATCAAAATGTATGGGATAAAGTTAAGCAGACCCAGAGTAAATTTTTTGTATAAATGCTTATTCTAGAAAAGAGAAGTTCAAAACAAGTGAACTAATTTCTACCTTAAAAAGAAAATCTAAAACAAGAGAGCAAATTAAGTCCAAAACAAGTAGAGGAAAGGAAATAAAACAGAAATTAGAAATCAATGAGACAGAAAACAGAAACAGGAGAAAATCAACATGGCCAAAAGTTAGTTCTGTGAGAAAGAAAGAAAACGCAAATTATACATATCAGGGATTAATGAGATTGTACAGTTGTAGACACAAGAGACTTTAACAAGATAATGGAATATTGTGAAACATTATATACAAATTTTCATTACTTGGATGAAAGGGTGACTTCCTTGAAAAAAACTTATAAAAAATTTCACAAGATTTAATGGAACATAGGAAGTAATTGACATTTATTAAAGTAATTAAATTAATTGTAAAATACCTGCACATAAAAACATAAAATTAAATAAATAAAAAAATAAGCAAACCCCAGATCTAAAGAATTTCACTGGTGAATTCTTTCAAACGTTTTAAAAAAATAAAATTTTTAAATTATTTCAGAAATAAAGAAGGGGGAAATTCCAAACTTGTTTTATGAGTCAGAATCCTGATACCAAAATTACAAAACCTAGGAATGCAAAATTGACTTCAACTTAAAGAGCTATCACCATTCTAATCTGTGATTCTAATGAATTTGGCTATCTTAGATACTTTATACAAGTGGAATCATACAGTTTGTCCTTCTGTGACTGATTTACTTTACTTAGCATTAATGTCCTCTAGGTTCATCCATGTTGCATATTGACGGGCTTTCTTGTTTTAAAGCTGAATAATATTCCGTTGTATGAATATACCACATTTTCTTTATCTTTTCATCTGCCAATAGACATTAACCTTATTCCCACATTTTAATTAGTGTAAATAATGCTGCAATGAGCCTGAGAATCATCCCAATCTCCATTCTTTCAGATAAATAACCTGAAGTGAGACTACTAGATCATATGCTAGTTCTACTTTCTTAATTTATTTGAGGAACCACCGTACTGTTTTCCATAGAGGATGCACAGTTTTACTTTCCCAGAAACACTGTAGAAGTGTTCCAATTTCTCCCCATTGTTAACACTCGTTATCTTTTTCTTTTAATAAGACCATTCTAAAGGGCTTGAGGCAATATCTCTTTGTGGTTTTGATTTGCATTTCCCTGATTAGTGATGCTGAGCATTTTTTTCATGTATCTGTTGGTCATGTGGATATTTTCTTTGGAGAAATATCTATTGCTGATTTAAAAAAAAAAAACTCTCAGCAAGCTAGATAAAGAAATTTTCTCGAAGTGATGGAAAGCATCCACAACAAAACATATAAACAATACTATATTTAATGGTGAAAGCGTAAATGTTTAAACCACATAGATTAGGACAAGAAAGGGATGTGTGTGTTCATCACCTCTATTCAACATTGTACTGGTGATCCTAGATTTTGAGTATAAATATTTAGGGGACAACTATTGTCACTGAAGCCCAAATCTTGGTCATCCTCAGAAAAAAAAAAAAGTTGATTAGGTTGTATATAATCTAATTTTACTTGCTAATTTAATTTCTCTAAAATTGCAGCTTGTATCAACTCTAGAATTTATTGGGCACCTCCTAGGACATAAACACTGGAATTTGGTGAGAGACGTCAAATAGGAAAGAACCTGGCTCTGACATAAATTCAACACACGGAGGGGGACACATGTTATGAGACTGACCTGGCCTCTTCATCTCATAAAAGGGGTTCTTGTTGCTTGTAACACAGATTAAAACTATTTCAATTACATTCAAGATAAAAAGATTAGCAATGGTATGTAAGATGAAAAAATCACCCCGCTGGAAGATGAAAGTCTCACAAAAGGATATTTAAGCTAGCCAACACTTTGAAATTCAGGCAGAGATCGTGATTTCTGGGTGAACTAAAGTAGCAAGAACAAAGTAGAGGCTCCAATTCTAGGAAAAATGGGTCCTAATAAGGTTTACAATCCAGAAACTCAAGATATCCAGACAGAAGGATGCAGTCTCCGCTTTCAAGGCAGCAGCAGTACCTGGATTACTAAGCCAATCCCCAACACAATCATAAACACAAATTTGATTGAGGAAGAAGCTTGCCCACCAGAAGATTTAGGTTATTACAAGGTAGAATGTGATAGAGAAAATGAGCATGGGACTGGAAAGAAAAGGAGGTAGCCCCATGATTACAACTGGAATATATGTGTCAGCGATGGTGCGGAAATAAGACTGAAGAGAGAGATCCTTAAACCCCACGTGCCTTACATCAGGACTAATCCTGGACACAGGCTGGAAAGCATAGCCTACAGGTGGTGAGGCAGGAGGAGTGGGCTCAGCTGTGAGAAGGAGAAGGAAATATGGCTGAAAACTAGATAGGGGTCTTGAAATCACACCGAGGATTTGGGCCTTTGCTGCTGTCTGCCAGCAGCTGCCAGTAGTTCTCACACTTTGGCTGGCAACAAAATCACCTGGGGCAGTGGTGCGGAAGCGGGGGGAGTGTTGTAAAACCACAAGTGACCAGGCAAAAAACACCTGTATGTTTTCCAATTCAGTAAGTACAGAAATATTAATTGGAAAAAGGTGGAGGTCAGACATTGATAGTGCTGTGGACTGCTCCAGGGACGTAAGCATGATCTTTAGACAGGTGACTCTAATCAATTGAGGGCAACCACTGGACAGAAAGAGGTCCAGACCAACCATACACAGAGACATCATACAACTACACTTTAGCAACCTCTCCAAATAACATGTCTCTTAGTGAAACTTGGGAGGTTGCAAGTTAAAAACATAAAATCCAGTGGCATTTATGTATCCTAGGCACTTACATTTGTCTGATTCTTCCAACTTGCCTTTGCTTGGTTAGAGTTTTGGGTAGATAAGAGGTGGATTTACATGTGCTAGTGTGAGAACTTTGATACACTCATTTAGACATTGACCTACTATCTTGTTTGAAAGCTAAAACCCAAAGAAATTTGTCTTCTTACATAAAACAAATTCAGCCCTTGCCTTCCTTGTAGATTACATCTTCCACTAGCAGTAATAAAAAAGTAACAATATGCATAAGTCAAAGTATCTTCTTAGATCCTCTGTAGTGTTTTATTATTTAGTTGTGTTAATTAAAGTAACTGTCTCAAAATTTCAAGGAATGCCTGAGAAGAAATTCATGTTCAAAGGCTGCCCTCTTGTGACAATGTGTTGTATGCTTTACTGTAAAAGTAACCTTATTTTACCTTATAACCTCTACAATCCAATTCATAACAGCATAAAAAGGAAACAAAACCTTACATAATTTTGAATTTTAAAAAGTACCTTGTTTATATGGCTCCTTTAGCTAATGAATAGTCAATTTGGTAAATATTCAAGTGAGTTGAAGGTTTGAATATCTCACTTAACTAGCTTGATGAATGTATTTCTAAACCTATACAACCCACTCCTCTGCTTTTAAAAAATTAAAGTTAGCTGTAGATTGAGATGTCAGTGACACAGTTCATAGAACATAACTTAGATTGTCATCTACATTACTGTAACTACAAATACCACCCTCAGATGGAAGAATAAGTTTTATCAGTGAACATCTCTAATTGAACTATAAATGGTGTATGTCTTCTGGTTTTTACAAGCTCTTGGTCTAACACAGGGGATATATGATGTAAAAATTACAAAACAAAGTCACTCACGGTGGCTCATGCCTGTAATCCCAGCACTTTGGGAGGCCAAGGCGGGCGGATCACAAGGTCAGGAGATCGAGATCATCCTGGCTAATATGGTGAAACCCCGTCACTACTAAAAATACAAAAATTAGCTGGGTGTGGTGACACATGACTGTAGTCCCAGCTACTCAGTAGGCTGAAGCAGGAGAATCGCTTGAACCCAGGAGGCGGAGGTTGCAGTGAGCCGAGATCGCACCACTGCACTCCAGCCTGGTGGCAGAACAAGACTCCATCTAAAAATAAATAAATAAATAAATAAATAAATAAATAAATAAATAAATAATAAAATAGCAGTGACTATAATGTTTTGTGATGTTAAACTTTGAGAGCTTTTTTTTTCTTTCTTTTCCCAAGTGCCTTTCCCAGTTCCAGGAGCAGAGTTATTCTAAGCCCACTGATGTAAAGGAATAGAAAGAAAAGGTTTGTTGGAAAACCTAATAACCTGCTTTCTGTCTTTTGTTTTTTAAAAGCTTGAGCATTTGGGAGAATTTGGAAAGATTGTGGAGTAAGTGCAAAGAAGGAATTTGTTAACAAAAATCATATAGGGTAAAATGAGTTTTTTCCAGGTTAGAAAATATCCACTCCCTACCCTCCTACATTCCTTTCCCATGGTTAAGAAGAGGAAAAAACAAAGGCTTCTTGGTGAGCAGTGGTGACTTAGGCAGTTTCTTAGAAATATTCTAGAAGGCATAGTCATCTTTTAAAAAAAAAATAGCTACAAGGATATGTCTAAGCAGAAGGGTCCATGGGCCAAATTACGTGTAGATTTTTGCATTCCAAATATGGTAAAGAAGAAGCAGGAAGCTGGGGCTCCTTAACAGGTCACACAGAAATGGACATGGAAGAGGCCAGCAGCAGCTTGTGGGGACAAGATGTCAAGCCCCAAATGTTAAACCCACCAACCATCCTCCAAATTCTGGCTCTGTTTAACAAGGCTGTGGTCTGACACTACATGCCGCCTCAGTGACTAAAGCATAATTTCCCGTCTCCTGGGAGTGTTGACAGCTGACTCCTGGCAACAATACTCACAGCACAGTAAAGTTCCTTCATCCAAGTTCATGTCCCTTCTCAAGGCATCCCACATCCGAGAACTGCTTGGTACAGAAATATAATGGCCTGGTTTTCTTGCTCCAATTCGAGGTCATTAGGTAAACTCACCAAGATCTTGTAGAGTGGACTGCGGCCATGATAGTGATTGCATTCCAGCCGACTTCCTGCTCCACCCAATCCTATTGCTTTCACTCTTCCACAGGTGTTGGGAATATCATTTCAACCTCCTTGCATGCAAATCTCCAACTCGGAGTCGGCTTCCTAGGACACCTGACTGGTGATATCTCTATCACTATCACAGTACTTAGAGGGGAGCATCTTAAAATGATTGAAGGCTAACTGCCCTAACAGCACAGGCAGATGATGGCTTAAAATAGAATTTAAGTGGATTTAAAAAAACATGAAAAAAGTTGACATTGCACGCTCATATGAGCTTATGGATCAAACCATGTGTATGATTTCTAAGATCCCTCGTGCAGTATATATTTGCACTGTTTATAAATGACATCCCCTTGAATTGAATTCAGTGCAATTCAAAACAGTAATTTGTGGGAAAAATTAGATATGCAGATAGCCTGGACTCTAGAGAAGCACACATCATTTGGAGAATAATAGTGAACCGGCTAGTCTATGAGGGAAGAAAACAGAGTGAATATAGACTATTAGTGAACAAGGATATTTTCCCATGTATATTCAAATTAAGGTGAACTTCTTTAGAGAATTGTGCCTTAGAAAGAAAAAGTATTTCCCTATATTTGAGTCCTCACAAGTTTTCCTACGATGAGTGCTTTTGTGATTATTTTGAATAACAAAGTAATATTTAAAGAAACTCTCTTGCCCTGAATGTACTTTAATTTATGTCAATTGATGTTGCATATAGAGATCATCAGAGTCAAGCTACAAGAAAAAGAGGAACATAACTTAGCAAAGACTTAGAGGATTAGTCCTAATAGTGTGAAATCAAAATTTCAAGTGAGGGAATAAATGCAGCTTTTAATGATTACTTAAATGAAGTTTAACTCTAGCAGGATCTACAAGAAATTGGCAACCTTTGGCTTCAGTAACAGAAACTCAGGATATATGCCCTTCAGTGAGTTTGCATTCTGCATCATATTGAGAGACACTCCTTTAAACAGCAATAAGAAACTTCCTGTGACAACATAATAAATTCAAAAAGTTCTGTAACTCAGACAATTTAGATAGAAGTGATAACTTTGGCCTATAAAGCCCTGTTCACCCTAAAGATGGATTAAACAATGAAAAAGATATTGATATCAAAAGTTCAATCAGTAATTTGATTAAAGCATTTCATTAAATGTGATAATTTCTTAGTATATTATCTTACATATGCAATATTCATGTGTAACAAATTATATACAAGTAAACATTTGACCATATTATCTGCAGCATAATTTACATATCAATTTACATATTCAGTTTTGCTCACATGAAAACTTGGATCTTCTCAATAAGAAAATTTGTGAAATCTTTAATTCCTCATCCCCAGGAATGTAAATAAATAAATATAAATACTGTAAGTCAGTGATTTTTTCCTAGGAAGACAGTAAAAATACTTTACACGCCTTCTCATTGTAAACCTAAATAACAAACAGAGAAAGGCTCTCTAAAGGAAAAAGACACATCTTAGGGAGGAGGGCACTGCGATGGGAATATGCATGACAAAGCAAACTATATAGATTCAAATGGTAAAGGAAGACAAGGTCTTTAAAAGAAAAATGATCAACCTGGAAGTATGGGGGAGTAGAAAAAAATAAATAAGGGAAAATGAAGAGGCTTCTATAATTGTTTTGATATAGTTACCTTTGACTATAAAGATCAACAACAAGGTCAATATCAGTTGAAGTTTGGGCAGGCGGTTGCTGGATAGATGTCCTCACAGAAGTGTATTTTGTGTAAGGTTGCTATGGCCTTTGTGCAAGGTTGTGGTTTTTGTGGTATTTTGTAATAGTTTTTATCAGGCCTAGAAGCATGAGAACCCTCTCTTCAAGGCCTTCTCTGAATCTATTTGTTCAGGTTTCTTCTTCTCTTTTTAAACATTAGTGACAGTTTTGATTCTGATAACTTTCATATCATGATCCCTAATTTCAAAAAAAATTAAACGTGTAACTTATTTATGATGTATTTGATAGGCTTGGATTTGTGAATCACCTCTACTATCTATAGTGGTAGATATATCTGAGCCTGCTTACACAGCACTTCCATCAGATTCTCTCTTCAGTGGAATTGGAAGAGGGGGTTTTGGAGAAGGGAATGAAGGAATTGTGCTGCATCAGAGGTCCCCACCTAACAGCACAGGGCCTTTTTCTGTGCTCTTGCCAGGCCGTTGTATTGGCTGATGCAAAAGTAATTTTGGTTTTGTCATTGAAAGTAATGAGACCATCTGACTTACAATGTCTGTGCCATAACCAGCTCCTAATAGCCTCCGAGGACAGCTTTGCCCTGACATATACTGTCCTGGGACCACGTCTGCTTTGTAACTCCTGAGGTAGCTGCCACCATGACCAATGCCTTCTCATCTTTACTCTACATGCAGGTAACAGTTATAATTATATCTCTGTGTATTCACAGAACATTTAGTACATCTGGGACTTCTACAAAATTTCCCTAGCTGATTTTGGTGTTCTGGGGTACTGGCAGCTCTAGCCATGAAGGGATGATGCTTTATCAGCATTTCTGTTGAGTTTTTTGCTTTTTCTCAAAAACTGATTCCACTTTTCCCACATACGTTTGACAATTCATTTGAACTCATTTATTCTAAACCCATTATTTCTGGTCTATTATTTAATAGGAAGGGAGGCGAGGGATAAAAGATTACAAATAGGGTGCAGTGTACACTGCTCGGGTGATGGGTGCACCCAAATCTCACAAATCTCCAGTAAAGAACTTACCCATGGAACCAAATACCACCGTACCCCAATAACCTATGGAAAAAAATAAAAAATAAAGTAAAAAAGAGTCAGAAAGAAAGAAAATAATCACTGTACTTCCCAAGACACTTAGAAATGGTGACTAGCATTATTTGTAAGTGTCACCTAATAATATTATTATTTTTTCTTTATGCTACAAACTAGCTCTGCTATTACAATCACTACTATTTGAAGTGTTACTAAATTAAATTAAATCTATTGTATCCTTCTGGACTCAGAAATGGGAGTAAATGCTAAGACAATTTCAGAATATGATCACATATTAAAAGCATATTATATGGGGAAAATTTGATTTTTAAAAAATAGAAATTGGTAGAGAAACAATTTTTGGGTCTTTAATTTACGCACATTTTGCAAGTATGGACGCTGAATTTATTGTTCCAAATGATTGTTTTCAAGCATGTTTGTATAGAAAACAGCCTTGGAATAGAAAACCAGTACCTCCTTCTGGAACAAAGGAAAAGTTTATTTACTGTCTAGTATAATGCAGATAATTTCTCCCTCTTGGGAAGCATACAGCCAAGTGAACTTCCAATAACACAAGTTGGGGTTTCTTGAGCTTGGGTTTTTCTTCCACAGTGTAATGTGCAGGTGCCACTTGGCTCTCTTTGTGTTATCCTGAGAAAGCTGATGGCTATAGGTGCATGTGTTTATTTTGGGGTTCTCTATTATGTTTCATTGGTCTTTGTGTCTGTTTTCATATCAGTACCATGTTATTTTGTCTACTGTGGCCTTAGGGTATAGTATGAAGTCAAGTAATGTGATGTCTCCAGCTTTGTTCTTCTTGCTTAGATTTCCTTTGGTTGTCTGGGCTCTTTAAAAATCCATATGAAATTTAGAATATTTTTTTTTCTGATTCTGTGAAAAACGACATTGGTTGTTTCATAGGAATAGTGTTGAATGTGTAGATTGCTTTTGGCAGTATAGCCATTTTAACAATATTGATCTTTCTAATCCATGAGGATGGAATGGTTTTCCATTTGTTTCGAGATCTATGATTTCTTTCTGCAGTGTTTTGTAGTTCTCCTTTTAGATATCCTTTACCTCCTTGGTTAGACATATTCTTCCTTTATTTTATTTTATTTTGGGGGTTGCTGTTGTAAACAGGATTGCACTCTTGATTTACCTTTCAGTTTAAACATTTTTGGTGAACAGAAATGCTACTTCTTTTTATATGTTGTTTTTTTTTATCCTGAAAGTTTGCTGAAGTTTTTTTTATCAGTTCTAGGAGCCTTTTGGCACAGTCTTTAGGGATTTCTAGGTGTAGAATCATATCATCAGTGAAGAGAGATAATTTGACTTCATTTCCTATTTGGATGCTTTTTATTGCTTTCTCTTGCCTGCTTGCTCTGGCTAGGACTTGTTAAACAGGAGTGGGGAGAACAGGCATCCCTATTTTATTCCTGTTCATAAGGGGAATGTGTTGGGAGAAAAGCTGAGTGTTGGAAGAGAAGCTGAGGCAGGGCCATATGTTTCTCATTCACTTGATACACCATTTCCTTTCAACCCCCACATCCTCACCACCTGTTTCTTTGTTTGAGCACCAACAAATAGCGTGGGCTCCCAGAGCTTGGGGACTTTGCAGACTCCATACTCGTGATGGTCTCCTGGTCCCACTTTCTCTCTCAAACTGTCTTTTTCTCATTCCTTTGACTCTGCCGGACTTCATCACCCCCATGACCTAGTGTTGGGTCTGATCACCCCAACATTCCTGGCGCCCAACATAGGGTGACAAAGACCCGGTGAAGGAAGGCTAGAGCATATGAAAACAGAGGACACATCATCAAAAGACACCCGAGGACATACAAAGATGGGGAGTGAAAGTTAGTACTTAGAATTTGTTATTACTCTTTAGTACAGTAAAGCAGTTTTGCCCATGGTTTCCAGAACAAAGGACTATGAAGTTGGATGAATGGGAGAGAATTGGAAGAGATTTTTAATAGGCATATAAAGATGGAGCAGAAATTCCAGTTTATATATGGTCAGTGTGGGCACTAATAAAGGCAGCCCTTGAGCCATTTCAAACAGATGATGAGGCAGATTCAGATGAGGAAGAGGAGGATGAGTGTAAAAAACTAACTTCAAATTCTGAGTGTGAGGAGCAGCTACCGGAGGAGATTAAAGAAAAGAAAGAAAAACTTTAAAAAGTATGTTTTACTAGCCCGTTGGCTCCACCTGCTGAATTAAGTGAATGGCCACCTCCTCTCTCTCCCCTAAATGGGTGAGAAAATAAATTAGCTGAAAAACTTACTGCTCCTGTAGTTACAACATTAAAACCTGGAGCAGTTGGTGGTGCTAGACAAAATTCTATTCAAAAAGCTAAAGCCAAGGGAGACCTTGAAGCATGGCAATTTCCCGTTACTATAATCCAGCAAGTAGGACAGAATATAGCTAATTAGCCTGCTTTTTCTTCTAAGTTACTAAAGAATTTAAGCAAGCCATTAGTCAATATGGACTGAACTGTCTTTTTGTGCAATCTTTATTAAAAAATATGGCTCTTGATAATACATTACTACCATATAATTAGGATACTTTGACAAAACCTGTTCTCACTCCCATCTCAGTACTTGCAGTTTAAAACTTGGTAGGCTGATGAACTCAAACTCAGGCAAAAGAAAACACACACGTGCAGCCACCTGTGCCTGTTTTCTTTGATCAGTTAATATGAGTTGGCCCTAACTGGGGTTGATTAGAGAATCAAGCAGTAATGGAAGATGTTGCCATTATTCAGCTGTGCTTCATGTGCTTACATGCATAGAAAAGGATAAATGTTACAGGGGAAAAGTATCCTTATTTAAGTTCTGTCTGACAAGGACCTAAAGAACCATATATTAATTCTATTGCTCAGCTCCAAGAGGCTGTGTATAAAGCCGTAAATGATCAAAACAACTCAGGATGTTGTAATACAGCTTCTTGCATACAATAATGCTAATGCAGAGTGTCAAACTGCTATTAGATATCTGAGAGAGAAGGCTCATTTAACTAAATATATTAAGTCTTGCGATGACATTGGAGGTAACTTACATAAGGCTATTCTTTTAGCTCAGGCTATGGCTAGATTAAGAGTAAGAAAAAATATGCTTCATTTCTCAGGCTCTTGCCTTAATTGTGGGCAAATTGGACACAAGAAAGGAATGTAGAAAGGAATTCAAAAGACGAAAACTACTACCATGAATCAACAGAAAAGACCCAGTGTATGTCCCTGGTGTAAGAAAGGCAATCACTAGGCAAGTCCGTGTCATTCTAAATTTAGCAAAGATAGACAACCTCTTTGAGGAAATAGGAAGAGGGACCCGCCTCAAGCCCCTCAACAAACTGAGGCATACCCAGCACAGCCACTGCCCTTACAAATGTACAGCAATTGTCCCCCGCCTCAGCAAGCAGTGCTGCTGTAGACCTCTACAGCACAATTCCCATCTCCTTACTTCCTGGGGAGCCACGAAAGAAGGTCCCCACAGGAGTTAGGGCACCCTTACCCTGAGGAACTGTTGGGAACAAGCCCCCACAAATCCGGCCATAAACTGGCCCCAAAACTGGCCATAAACAAAATCTCTGCAGCACTGTGACATGTTCTTGATGGCCATAACACCCACGCTGGAAGGTTGTGGGTTTACCAGAATGAGGACAAGGAATACCTGGCCCGTCCAGGGTGGAAAACCACTTAAAGGCATTCTTAAGCCACAAACAATAGCATGAGTGATCTGTGCCTTAAGAATAAGGGATACTTTTAGTTAATCTAATATCTATAGAAACAATGCTAATGACTGGCTTGCTGTTAATAAATACGTGGGTAAATCTCTGTTCAGGGCTCTCAGCTCTGAAGGCTGTGAGACCCCTGATTTCCCACTTCACTCCTCTATATTTCAGTGTGTGTGTCTTTAATTCCTCTAGTGCTGCTGGGTTAGGGTCTCCCCAACCGACCTGGTCTCAGCAAGTGGTGCCCATTCATGGGGGCTCGAATACAGGTCAAAGGATCGCTGGAGCAACGATTGGAGAATGTGGAACTAGCTGGAGGACATCCGAGTACTCTTAAAGCAATCCCCGTGGTGAGTCAGAAGGGGAGCTCGGAAGCATCAGGGTAACAATGGGACAAGTGTGGGCTGTGGTTCGTTCTACCTTGGAACTTTTTCACACTGATAATGAGGAGGAAGGAGAGTATATCAAAGTAACAGTAGAGGTTACAGACCAGGTTTATTTGCCACCTAAAGCTAAAGCAGAAAAGGAGGGAGAGGTTCATCCCTACCCTTCTGCACCCCCTCATTATTATTTTGAAGAAAACGACCCTCCAGATCTTTCTTTTCTGGAGGACACTGGGTGAAAAGTAGTTGCCCTGGTGACTGTTCGAGCACCGCCTTGAGCGACTGCTTAGTTCTATTCAGGCAGGAATTCAGCAAGCTAGACAAAAGTGGGATTTAGAGGCTTGGCAGTTCCCTGTTTGAATACACCCCCCAGATCAACAGGGAAATATTATAGCTACATTTGAATCTTTTCCTTTTAAATTACTCAAAAAAATTAAACAAGCTATAAATCAGTATGGACCAGGTTCTCCTTTTGAAATGGGACTGTTAAAGAATGTTGCTGTTTCCAGTCGGATGATTCCTACTGACTGGGACACTCTTACTCTAGCTTGTCTAACTCCTGCTCAGTTCTTACAATTTAAAACTTAGTGGGCAGATGAAGCTTCCATTCAGGCTGCTCGCAATGCCTGGGCCCAACCTCAAATTAATATAACTGCAGACCAACTTTTGGGGGTTGGTGGCTGGGCTGGTTTACATGCACAAGTAGTCAAGCAGGATGATGCCATAGAACAGCTTAGAGGAGTGTGCATTAGAGCTTGGAAAAAATCACTTCATATGGAGAACAATACCCTTCATTTAGTGCTATAAAACAGGGACCAAGAGAACCATATGTGCATTTTATAGCTTGGTTACAGGAGTCTCTTAAAAAGATGATTGCAGATTTGGCTGCTTAGGATATAGTGTTGCAGTTATTAGTTTTGACAACGCTAATCCCTATTGCCAGGCTGCTCTGCGACCTATCAGAGGGAAAGCACATTTAGTTGATTATAACAAGGCCTGTGATGATATCAGAGATAATCTACATAAAGCTACTTTGTTGGCACAGGCGACGGCAGGACTGAGAGTGGATAAAGGAAATACTCTATTTCCTGGAGCTTGTTTTAACTGTGGGAAACATGGTCATACTAAAAAGAATGTAAAAAAAAAAATCAGCAAGTCAGGTCACCAGATAGGTGAAAAAAGAAAACTGCTGATCCTGAAATATTTCCAAAATGTAAAAAAGGAAAACTTTGGGCTAATCAGTGTCACTCTAAGTTTGATAAACAAGGGAACCCGATTTCGGGAAACTCCCTGGGGGGCCCATCCCAGGCCCTGTTCTAAACCAGGGCATTTCTAGCTCAGGCCATTCCCTCACACCCGTACATTATCTGTCCCCCACCATAGCCCATAGTGTCGCAGTAGACTTATGCTGCACAAAAGCTGTGAGCCTTCTGCCTGGGGAACCCCCGCAAAAGGTTCCAACAGGAGTCTGTGGACCGTTGCCAGGAGGGACAATGGGATTACTTTTAGGAAGGTCTAGTTTAAGTTTAAAAGGGGTACAAATACACACTGGAGTCATTGATTCAGATTACAATGAGGAAATTCAAATTGTGATATCTACTTCTTTTCCCTGGAAAGCACAGCCAGGAGTGGGCATAGCACAGCTCCTGAGTGTGAAGTATGTGGGAATGGGAAAAAGTGAAATTAAATGAACTGGAGGATTTGGAAGCACAAATAAAAAAGGCAAGGCAGCTTATTGGGTAAATCAAATTACTGATAAACATCCTATCTGTGAAATAACTATCCAGGGAAAGAACTTTAAAGGTTTGGTAGATACAATTTTTTTTTTTTGGTAGGAGTGGACATTTCAATCATTTCTCTACAGCACTGGCCGTCCATGTGGCCAATTCAGCCCACTCAATTTAACACAGTGGAAACTGCTAAAGCCCCAGAAGTGTATCAAAGTAGCTATATTTTGCATTGTGAAGGGACCGATGGACAACCTGGGACTGTTCAACCAATTGCAACTTCTGTACCTATAAATTTATGGGGGAGAGATTTATTATGACAATGGGGAGCACAAGTTCTAATTCCATAGCAATTATACAGCCCTCAAAGTCAACATATGATGCACGAAATGGGGCATGTCCCTGGTATAGGAGTAGAAAAAAATTGCAAGGTTTGAAAGAACTGCTTCAAACGGAAAGACAAAGTTCCTGCCAAAGATTAGGATACCATTTTTGATGGTGGCCACTGTTAAGCCTCCAGAACCTATACCTTTAAAATGGTTAACAGATAAGCCAATTTGGATAGAATAATGGCTGCTAAGCAAAGAGAAACTGGATGCTTTAGAGAAATTAGTTACTGAACAATTAGAAAATGGGCACATAGCTCCAACATTTTCCCCTTGGAATTCTCCAGTGTTCATAATTAAGAAAAAATCAGGTAAATGGAGAATGTTAACTGACTTAAGAGCCATCAATTCAGTTATACAACCTATGGAAACATAACAGCCAGGATTGCCTTCTCCTACTATAATTCCAAAAAATTGGCCTTTAATAGTCACAGATTTAAAAGACTGTTACTTTACTACCCTTTTAGCTGAGCAAGACTGTGAACGGTTTGCATTTACAATTCCTGCAGTAAACAACCTGCAGCCTGCTAAGCGTTTTCGTTGTTTCACAGATGGGTCTAGTAATGGTAAAGCTTCTTATTCTGGATCAAAAGGTAAAGTTTTCCAGACACCCTATACTTCAGCTCAAAAAGCGGAGCTTGTAGCTGTAATTGAGGTATTGACTGCTTTTGATATGCCTGTTAATGTGATTTCTGATTCTTCATACATGGTTCATTCCACACAGTTAATTGAAAATGCTCAGTTACGATTTCATACAGATGAACAACTGATAATAAAAACAAAAAAAGGGGGAGAAACAGGGATTACGGGTAGCCAATACACAATTGAATCTATCATTATTAACTTTCAAATTTTTGAGCCTGCCCAAAGGCCAGATGTTACCAGCAGCTGAACAGCATCTACAGAAACTAGCTGCAAAGAGAGAAGCAGAACAACTGGTTTGGTGGAGAGATCCAATAACAAAAAGTTGGGAAATAGGTAAAATTATAACTTGGCATAGAGATTATGCTTGTGTTTCTCCAGGACCGAATCAACAACTGATTTAGATACCATCAAGACACCTGAAATTTTATCATGAGTCAGATGCTGAGGAAGAGATAAAAAGCACAATCATCATTGAAATTAGAGCTTCTGGCTGGGCGCGGTGGCTCACGCCTGTAATCCCAGCACTCTGGGAGGCCGAGGTGGGCAGATCACAAGGTCAGGAGATCGAGACCATCTTGGCTAACACGGTGAAACCCCGTCTCTACTAAAAATACAAAAAATTAGCTGGGTGAGGTGGCGGGCGCCTATAGTCCCAGCTACTCAGGAGGCTGAGGCAGGAGAATGGCATGAACCCGGGAGGCAAAACTTCAGGTTTTGCCAAGAATGACACTGTAAATGTAACAAAGCTTCTGTGCTTGTTAGTGAACACCAAATCAGCTACTCTCCTGTATTCGGAGATCAGGATGAAATGAAAAGAACAAGCAGGCCGGGCGCGGTGGCTCATGCCTGTAATGTCAACACTTTGGGAGGCTTCGGTGTGCGGATCACCCGAGGTTGGGAGTTTGAGACCAGCCTGACCAACATGGAGAAACCCCGTCTCTACTAAAAATGCAAAATGTGCTGGGCATGGTGGCACAAGCCTGTAATCTCAGCTTTGGAGGCTGAGGCAGGATAAGTGCTTAAACCTGAGAGGGGGAGGTTGCTGTGAGGCAATATTGCACCATTGCACTCCAGCCTGGGCAACAAGAGTGAAACTCCATCTCAAAAAAATAAAAAATAAAAAAAGACCCTCAACCTTGTCTAGACTGTGGGGTTTCAGTTTCACCCCAGGGGGGTCCTGGTTGGGTTAGAATCCTGAATCTCGTTTGAGTTCGAACCCTAAAGAATAAAGGGAATAAAGGCTGTAGCTACTGAGCTACTCAATCTGGTCTGGTTCTGGCTTTTGTGTGTCTATCTGTATTTTTGGTCTAAATATTTGGCCCAACAGAGGTTAAAGGCTTTGATGTTCTCAGCAAAAGCCTTGTGAGATTTCTAGTTTATCTGTGTGCTCAATTGGAACAAAGAGACTCAATAAACTAGAAAAACCTAAAGAAAATGGCACACGTGAAAAATTGAGAGCCAACTCCTGTTTGTTGTTCTGTCCACCTCCCTCTCTCACTCCTCCTTCTGCCTTTGCTGTGGTCCCATGGTGTTTCTGTCTTTCCGGGGACCTGAGATTCAGTGTAGGAGTGAAGTCCATGATTTTAAAGCCTTCATGTCTCTGCTTTTTAACTCTGCCTGCTTTGCTGAGCTCTTATAATGAGAAATAAACTATTCAGGACAGGTACAACAGGGCATCAGAAAACCAACTTCAGGCAGCGCTCCGGCAAGTACCTCCCTAGAGGGGAAGGGCTTACTAAAGGAGATTTAATCTTGAAAAGGCCAAAATGAGAAGCTCTAACCTTTAGCTTGCTAGGTTTTCTGGGACTCGAGCTGGCTATATATTATGGACCATTCTAGCCACACACACACACACACACACACACACACACACACACACTTTTTTGAGACAGAGTCTTGCTCTGTTGCCCACGCTGGAGTGCAGTGGTGCGCTCTTGGCTCACTGCAACCTCCACTTCCCAGGTTCGAGCAATTCTCCTGTCTCAGCCTCCTGAGTAGCTGCGATTACAGGTGTACGCCAACATACCCGGCTAATTTTTGTGGTTTTAGTAGAGATGAGGTTTCACTATGTTGACCAGGCTGGTCTCAAACTCCTGATCTCAAGTGATCCACCCACCTTGGCCTCCCAAACTGCTGGGATTACAGGCATGAGCCACTGTGCCCAGCCTATATATATATATATATATATATATATATTTATATTTATATTTATATATTTATATTTATATTTTTTTTCTTTTTCTTTTTGACACACAGTCTTGCTCTGTTGCCCAGGATGGAGTATGGTGGTACAATCGCGGCTCACTGCAACCTCCACCTCCCAGGTTTGAGCGATTATCCTGCCTCAGCCTCCTGAATAGCTAGGACTACAGGTGCACACCACCACACCCAGTTAATTTTTGTATTTTCAGTAGAGATGGGGTTTTGTCACGTTGGCCAGGCTGGTCTCAAACTCCTGGCCTCAAGTGATCCACCTGCCTCAGCCTCCCATAGTGTTGGGATTACATGAATGAGCCACTGCACCTGGTCTCTAGTGCACACTTTAAACCTGACGGCCAAATTACATGAAAGAAAATTCAGAACTCAAATAGTTACTATTTTTAAAAACCCTAAAATGAAAAAGTCTCAGTTCTTTTGCCTATCTTTTTTTTTTTCCCTGCCTACTTTGAATCTGCTGATTTGTCTACTGGTGTTGAGATAAGACTTACTGTCTGTGGTGTTACCAATTCAAGGTTACTTGGCTGAAGAAAAACAAAAGAATGAAACAATTTTTTATTTTTTTCTCTTTTTGAGACAAGGTCTTACTCTAAGGTCTTACTCTGTTCCCCAGACTGGAGTGCAGTAGTGGGATCATAGCTCACTGTTATCTCAACCTCCCAGGCTCAAGCAATCCTCCTGCCTCATCCTCTCTAGTAGCTGGGACAATAGGCATGCACCACCATGCCTGGCAATTTTTTATCTTATTCTTAGTAGAGATTGGATCTCACTCTGTTGCCCAGGCTGGTCTCAAACTCCTGAGCTCAAGTGATCCTCTTGCCTCAGCCTCTCAAAGTGCTGGGATACAGGCATGAACCACTGTGCCCAGACAAAAGAGTTCTTTTATAAATGCAAATAATTTAAAAAGTACTGATAAAATAAAAATAGAAATGTCTTCAGAATTGTCAGCATACATTTTTGACTGTGTTTTATATTTACATTTGCTAGATATTTTAAGGTGCTAGGGTTTGGCATGAAGGTTATAAAGCTATAAACACAGGAAAAAAAGAATATTTGTTTATGTGATTTTTTAAATACATAAGACCAATTTAATACGGTTTGTTGAACAAAAATAATGGAATTTTCTGAGTTATTGGTAAAATACCCTTGTATTTAACTCTGAAATCCTCACTTATGTGAACACCTGATATTCACAGGCTATAACATGGTTAACAAGAAAATAACCTAGAAATGATGACTAGCTTTGTCTAATACCTCAGTTCTCACAAATACTCTAGATAAACTGTCAAAAATAAGTAAATGTAAATGGATAAATGTCTATACAAGACATTTTAATGTATTTTTGAAATTTTTTTGAGCCAATGTCTCTGCCTGTCACCCAGGCTGAAGTGCAGTGGCATGATCACAGCTCATTGCAACCTTGACCTCCTGCACTCAAGGGATCCTCCCACCTCAACCTCCCAAGAAGTTGTTAATTACAGGCATGCAACACCATGGTCAGCTAACTTTTATTTTTTTTGTAGAGTCAGCATCTCGCTATTTGCTCAGGCTGGTCTCACGATACTCCTGCCTTGGCCTCCTAAAGTGTTGGGATTACAGGTGTGAGCCACCATGCCCAGCCTATTTTTGAAATTTTAGTTATGTTAAATTAAATAATAGATACTCATTAAATATCTGGGTTATTTCCAATTTAAAACTTATGTTTTAGCCCAGGCACTATGGCTCATGCCTGTAATCCCAACACTTTGGAAGGCCAAGGCGGGTGGCTCACCCGAGGTCAGGAGCTCAAGACCAGCCTGATCAACATGGTGAAACCCCATCTCTACTAAAAAATACAAAAAATTAGCCAGGTGTGGTGGTGGGTTCCTGTAATCCCAGCTACTCGAGAGGCTGAGGCAGGAGAATTGCTTGAACCTGGGGGACGGAGGTTGCAGTGAGCTGAGATCACACCATTGCACTCCAGCCTGGGCAACAAGAGCGAAAATCCACCTTAAAAAATATGTTTTAGGAACACATAATTCTAAATTATGAAATCATTCTCATATGTAAGATACTGCTATATGACAATTCAAGATTTCTTTCTTCCTAAGTTTTTTATTAAAATAAGGGTTACTAAGTGTTAATATCTTGGTAGATATATGTGATTAAGACTACTAGATACAAGAGAAACAATTCTGTATGCAAAATCTATACGGGTTTTTGTTTCAGAGAAAGTAAATTCGCTTAGAGATTTTTAAGGATTATTTTAAATTGAAGGAATAAAAAAGATAGATAAAACTAAATGTGTATAAAAAGTTGGGAAAGATGGAAAAAATTATACAAGGTTATTAAAAGTTTATGTAAATCTTACCTCGAGGTCAAAACTGATTGAGATCAGATAGATTGTTTATAAAGTTTATTTAAATTAGCTGTAATATTAAAAACATAGTGATAAAAAACAAAAAAATTTTGGTTAAAACAACAAGGTTTTCTTAATGCATGTATTTGCTCATAATAAGAGGTAATAAATATTGACTTTTAATCCTGATATCTGTTACTATAAAATCTTTTCAGATTTGTATATCAGAAGTTCAACGTTTCCTGTACTTTCATGTTACACATGACTCACAGATCACATCATTGTCTTCTGTTTCTTCTTGAGAAGGAATAAAAGGCTTGGGTTTCCTGCTTGGCTGGGATGATAACTCCTTCAGCTTTTTCATCAGGTCTAATTTTGTACTCTTGGCTTTTAAATATGTCTTAATTACTTCATGTAACCAGGATACAGCAGGAAACTTCCATGCTATCATTGTGAGCTATGGATCCCCACTGCTCTATGCTCTGGTTTTCCTGTTTACATTCCTCTGTAATATTATGCTCACTCATGACCCTGGACACACTCTTTCTATGTCTAATTAAATTCAAGTCTCCGTGTCATCGGTTTGACTTCCAAGTGATTTAAATTAGCTTCCCATAAGAAGACACAATTATGCCACAGGAGCTTTTACCCTTTAAATGACTGGCCTGTAATAAAGATTTTAGGTTTTATCAAGATAATCCATGTGTTGCCTTTATTGTTTTTTTAATTACTTGGGAAAACTGAGGGTTTTCAGTTTTCACATCCATGTAACCTTCTATGTTGCTTTTGATGTCTTTTGGTTGTCATGTTAATTAAATGAATGTTATTTAAAAATGACATGTGGCTGTGTGCAGCGGCTCTTGTCTGTAATTCCAGCCCTTTGGGAGGCCAAGGTGGGTGGATCACTTGAGCCCAGGAGTTCAAGTCCAGCCTGGGCAAAATGGCAAAACCCCATATCTACTAAAAATACAAAAGCTAGCTAGGTGTGGTAGCAAGTGCTCATAGTCCTGGCTACTTGGGAGACTAAGGTGGAGGATCACCTGAGCCTGGGAGGTTGAGGCTGCAGTGAGCCATGATTTCACCACTGCACTCCAGCCTGGGCAACAGGGTGAGACCCTGTCTCAAAAAAATAATAAAATAAAAAACAATAAACTGCCATTCCGTTTTGGTCAAATGTTTTCAATTTTTTGACATCTTTGCTAAAACTTAGTTGATAACATTGTATGGGAAGCATTGCCAAAAGTTAAGTAACACTAAATCTTCTTTTTTTTTTTCTCTGAGACAGAGTCTTGCTTTGTCACCCAGGCTGGAGTGCTGTGGCATGATCTAGTGTCACTGCAAATTCTGCCCCAAGGTTCAAGCAATTCTTCTGCCTCAACCTCCCAAGTAGCTGGGACTACAGACAAGTGCCACCATACCCGGCTAATTTTGTATTTTTAGTAGAGACAAGATTTCTCCATGTTGGCCAGGCAGGTGTCGAACTCCTGACCTCTGATGATCTGTCCAACTTGGCCTCCCAAAGTGTTGGGATTACAGGCATGAGCCACTGTGCCCAGCTTAAATCTTCTTTTGGTTACATTTATAGGTATGTTATTAATATAAATATTTTAAAAGTTATATAAATTATAAAAATCTAATAGGGTTTCAGTCATAATTTTGATGATGTTAAATATTTTCTAAAGTTGTATGTGTATAGATATATTATTAATATAAATATTCTAAAGATTATATAAAATTTCTGGAAGTCTGATGGATCTGATGTGTTGCCATCAGTCATGATTCTGGCTGTTATCTTAAAATGCTACATATAATACAAATAACTAAATTTTCTCGAGATTTGAGAACTTCCACTGGATTTTAACCAACGGCTATTCTAAGTTTTTGTCATCCACGGTGATTGATTAAAGTTCTTCTCTAAAACCCTTTACAGGCCGGGCACGGTGCTGGAGGCCATGCAGGGCACGGTGCTGGGCATGGTGCAGGGCATGGAGGCTCATGCGTGTAAATATCCCAGCACTTTGCAAGGCTGAGGTGGGTGAATTGCTTAAACTAAGAAGTTTGAAAGCAGCCTAGGCAATATGGTAAAATCCCATCTCTACAAAAATACAAAAATTAGCCAGGCATGATGGTGCATGCCTATGGTCCCAGCTACTTCGGAGGGTGAGGTAGGAGGATGGCTTGAGTTTGGGAGGGAGAGATTGCAGTGAACCAAGATCATGCCACTGCACTCCATCCTGAGTGATAGAGCCAGACCGTGTCTCAAAAAAAAAGCCTTTACAATCAGCTATCATCTAAATTACTTTTAATGGAAAGGATTCTGACAAGTTCTCTTAAATATGGTTTCAGATAACTTTGGGGATCAAACCATTGGACTAGGAAAATCTTCCAGGACTCTAAAAAGCTGAATGAGAATTTCTAATTGAAATCAAGCAAAACACAAAAAACTGAATGAGAATTGCTATTTGAAATCAAGCAGAACAAGATTTAGTTACATGGGAGTGAACTTATAAAAGAAGGAAAAGATTTTATCCATGGCCCTCCCATTAGAAACATTGTTGATCCTCTTTATGTTTTGTTTTCCAAAGTCAATAATTTTTTTTCTTTTCAGCTATTTTTAACTTACAATACATTAGATAAACTACATTGTGAACAAAAATTTGAGCCATTTATCTGTCTCTCTAGCTGATTTCTCCAGAATTCAGAAGCCATTCGTGAGCATTCTTAAATTATGGCAATATAATTATTTGCATAATTTCAATAAGAATCTGTTTTTGGTAACAAGATTCAATTGGAGACACTGTTTGTTTTATCAAGGCTTTAACTCGAATGGCAGATACAACCAGACCACTTTAAGGAATTGAGGTTGACTTTATAGCACCAATACAAAGCCCCTTAGAATGACTGGCTTGATGTCCTGTATACAAAGGTCCTTTACAAAGTTGCTATTCTTGTGGTAAGAAATAAAGAATGTCACTTTCTGATGGGCCAGGAACCTCAAGATATTTGGGGACCTTGAGAAGAGAGGACTACACCCATTCATTAAAGTATTACAGGAGAGCTGGCAAGATGTCTGAATAGGAACAGCTCCGGCCTGCAGCACCCAGTGAGATCAACACAGAAGTCAGGTGGTTCATGCATTTCCAACTGAGCCTCCACTGGTGATACCCAGGAAAACAGGGTCTGGAGTGGACCTCCAGCAAACTCGAGCAAACCTGCAGCAGAGGGACCTGACTGTTAGAAGGAAAACTAACAAACAGAAAGGAATAGTATCGACATCACCAACATCAAAGACCAAAGGTAAATAAATCCACAAAGATGGGGAGAAACCAGTGCAAAAATGCTGAAAACTCCAAAAGTCAGAATGCCTCTTCTCCTCCAGAAGATCACAACTCCCCGCCAGCAAGGGAACAAAACTGGACAGACAGTGAGTTTGATGAATTGACAGAAGTAGGCTTCAGAAGGCGGGTAATAACAAACTCCTCCGAACTAAAGGAGCATGTTCTAACCCAATGCAAGGAAGCTAAGAGCCTGAAAAATAAAGGTTAGACGAATTGTTAACTAGAATAACCAGTTTAGAGAAGAATATAAATGACCTGATGGAGCTGAAAAACCCAGCACAAGAACTTCAAGAAGCATACACAAGTATCAATAGCTGAATCAATCAATCAGGAGAAAGGATATCAGAGATTGAAGATCAACTCAATGAAATAAAGCAAGAAGACAAGATTAGAGAAAAAAGAGTGAAAAGAAATGAACAAAGCCTCCAAGAAATAGAGGACTATGTTAAAAGTCTGAATCTACGTTTGATTGGTGTACCTGAAAGTGACAGAAAGAATGGAACCAAGTTGGAAAAAACTCTTAAGGATATTATCCAGGAGAACTTCCCTAACCTGGCAAGACAGGCCAACATTCAAATTCAGGAAATACAGAGAACACCACTAAGATACTCCTCAAGAAGAGCAACCCCAAGACACAAAATCATCAGATTCACCAAGGTTGAAATGAAGGAAAAAATATTAAGGGCAGCCAGAGAGAAAGGTTGAGTTACCAACAAAGGGAAGCCCATCAGACTAACAGTGGATCTCTTGGCAGATAGCCTACAAGCCAGAAGAGAGTGGGGGCCAATATACGACATTCCTAAAGAAAAGAATTTTCAAGCCAGAATTTCATATCCAGCCAAACTAAGCTTCATAATTGAAGGAGAAATAAAATCCTTTACAAGCAAATGCTGAGAGATATTGTCACCACCAGGACTGCCTTACAAGAGTTCCTGAAGGAAGCACTAAACACGGAAAGGAACAACTGGTAACAGCCACTGCAAAAACATACCAAATTATAAAGACCATTGACACAATGAAAAAACTGCATCAACTAATGAGCAAAATAACCAGCTAGTATCATAATGACAGGATCAAATTCACACATAACAATATTAACCTTAAATGTAAATGAGCTAAATGTCCCCAGTTGAAAGACACAGTCTGGCAAATTGGATAAAGAGTCAAGACCCATCAATGTGTTGTATTCAGGAGACCCATCTCATACACATAGGCTCAAAATAAAGGGATGAAGAAACATTTACCAAGCAAGTGGAAAGCAACAAAAGGCAGGGGTTGCAATCCTAGTTTCTGATAAAACAGATCTTAAGCCAACAAAGATAAAAAGAGACAAAGAAGGGCATTACATAATGGTAAAGGGATCAATGCAACAAGAAGAGCTAACTATCCTAGACATATATGCACCCAATACAGGAGCACTCAGATTCATAAAGCAAGTTCTTAAAGACCTACAAAGAGACTTAGGCTCCCACACAATAATAGTGGGAGACTTTAACACTCCACTGTCAATATTAGATAGATGAGACAGAAAATTAACAAGAATATCCAGGACTTGAACTCAGCTCTGGACCAAGTGGACCTAAAAGATATCTACAGAACTCTCCACCCCAAATCAACAGAATGTACCTTCTTCTCAGAACCGCATTGTACTTATTCTAAAATTGACCACATAATTGGAAGTAAAACACTCCTCAGGAAATGCAAAAGAATGGAAATCATAACAAACAGTCTCTCAGACCACAATGCATTCAAATTAGTATGCAGGATTAAGAAACTCACTCAAAACCTCACAACTACATGGAAACTGGGCAACCTGCTCCTGAATGACTACTGGGTAAATAACGAAATGAAGGCAGAAATAAAGATGTTCTTCAAAACCAATGAGAACAAAGACACAACGTACCAGAATCTCTGGGACACATTTAAAGCAGTGTGTAGAGGGAAATTTATAGCACTAAATGCCCACAAGAGAAAGCAGGAAAGATCTAAAATTGACACCTTAACATCAAAATTAAAAGAACTAGAGAAGAAAGAACAAACAAATTCAAAAGCTAGGAGATGACAAGACATAAATAAGATCAGAGCAGAATTGAATGAGATAGAGACATGAAAAACCCTTCAAAACATCAATGAATCCAGGAGCTGGTTTTTCGAAAAGATCAACAAAACAGACCACTAGCCAGACTAATAAAGAAGAAAAGACAGAAGAATCAAATAGATGCAATAAAAAATGATTAAGGGGATATCACCACTGATCCCACAGAAATACAAATTATCATCAGAGAATACTACAAAGACTAAACCAGGAAGAAGTCAAATTCCTGAATAGACCAATAACAAGTTCTGAAATTGAGGCATTAATCAATAGCCTACCAACCAAAAAAAGTCCAGGACCAGACGAATTCACAGCCAAATTCTACCAGAGGTACAAAGAGGAGCTGGTACCATTCCTTCTGAAACTATTCCAAACAATAGAAAAAGAGAATCCTCCCTAACTCATTTTATGAGGCCAACACAACAAAAAAAGGAAATTTTAGGCCAATATCCCTGATGAACATCAATACAGAAATCCTGAATAAAATACTGGAAAACTGAATCCAGCAGCACATCAAAAAGCTTGTCCACCATGACCAAGTTGGCTTCATCCCTGGGATGCAAGGCTGGTTCAACATGCAAATCAATAAATGTAATCCCTCACATAAACGGAATCAATGACAAAAACTACATGATTATCTCAATAGATGCAGAAAAGGCCTTTGACAAAATTCAACAGCCCTTCATGCTAAAAATTCTCAATAAACTGGTATTGATGGAACGTATCTCAAAATATTAAGTGCTATTTATGGCAAACCCACAGCCAATAACATACTGAATGTGCAAAAACTGGAAGCATTCCCTTTGAAAATCAGCACAAGACAAGGATGCCCTCTCTCACTACTCCTATTCCACATAGTGTTGGAAGTTCTGGCCAGGGTAATCAGGCAAGAGAAAGAAATACAGGGTGTTCAATTAGGAAAAGAAGAAGTCAAATTGTCTCTGTTTGCAGATGACATGATTATATATTTAGAAAACCCCATCGTCTCAGCCCAAAATCTCCTTAAGCTGATAAGCAACTTCAGCAAAGTTTCAGGATACAAAATTAATGTGCAAAAATCACAAGCTTTCTTATACACCAATAACAGACAAACAGAGAGCCAAACTATAAGTGAACTCCCATTCTCCATTGCTACAACAAGAATGAAATACCTAGGAATACAACTTACAAGGATGTGAAGGACCTCTTCAAGGAGAACTATAAACCACTCCTCAAGGAAACAAGAGAGGACACAAACAAATGGAAAAATATTCCATGCTCATCAATAGGAAGAATCAATATCGTGAAAATGGCCATACTACCCAAAGTAATTTATAGATTCACTGCTATCCCCATTAAACTCTATTGACTTTCTCCACAGAATTGGAAAAATATATTTTAAATTCCATATGGAATCAAAAAAGAGCCCGAATAGCCAAGACAATCCTAAGCAAAAAGAACAAAGCTTCAAGCATCATGCTACCTGACTTCAAACTATACTACAAGGCTATGATAAACAAAAGAGCATGGTACTGGTACCAAAACAGATATATAGATCAAAGGAACAGAACCGAACCCTCAGAAATAACACCACATATCTACAACCATCTGATCTTTGACAAACCTGAGAAAAACAAGCACTGAGGAAAGGATTCCCTATTTAATAAATGGTGTTGGGAAAACTGGCTAGCCTTAGGCAGAAAGCTGAAACTGGATCCCTTCCTTACACCTTATATAAAAATTAACTCAAGATGAATTAAAGACTTAAACCTAATACCTAAAGCCGTAAAAACCCTAGAGGAAAACCTAGGCAATACCATTCAGGACATAGGCATGGGCAAAGACTTCATGACTAAAACACCAAAAACAATGGCAACAAAAACCAAAATTGACAAATGGGACCTAATTAAACTAAAGAGTTTCTGGACAGCAAAAGAAACTATGAGAGTGAAAGGGCAACCTACGAAATGGGAGAAAATTTTTGCAATCTATCCATCTGACAAAGACCTAATATCCAGAATCTACAAAGAACTTAAACAAATTTACAAGAAAGAACAATCCCATCAAAAAGTGGGCAAAGGATGTGAACAGACACTTCTTAAAAGAGGACAATTATGCAACCAAGAAACATATGAAAAAAAGCTCATCATTACTAGTCATTAGAGAAATACAAATCAAAACCACAATGAGATGCCATCTCATGCCAGTTAGAATGGCAATCATTAAAAAGTCAGGAAACAAAAGATACTGGAGAGGATGTGGAGAAATAGGATTGCTTTTACACTGTTGGTGGGAGTGTAAATTAGTTCAACCATTGTGGAAGACAGTGTGGCTATTCCTCAAGGATCTAGAACTAGAAATGCCATTTGGCCCAGCAATCCCATTACTGGGTATATACCCAAAGGATTATAAATCATTCTACCATAAAGACACATGCACACGTATGTTTATTGCAGGACTGTTCACAATAACAAAGACTTGGAACCAACCCAAATGCCCATCAATTATAGACTGGATAAAGAAAATGTGGCACATATACACCATGGAATACTATGCAGCCATAAAAAAGGATGAGTTCATGTCCTTTGTAGGGACATGGATGAAGCTGGAAACCTTCATTCTCAGCAAACTAACACAAGAATAGAAAACAAAACACCACATGTTCTCACTCATAAGTGGGAGTTGAACAACGAGAACACAAGCACACAGGGAGGGGAACATCACACACTGGGGCATGTTGGGGGTTGGGGGCGGGGGGAGGGATAGCATTAGGACAAATACCTAATATAGGTGATGGGTTGATGGGTGCAGCAAACCACCACAGCACATGTATACCTATGTAACAAACCTCAGCATTCTGCACGTGTACCCCACAACTTAAAGTATAATAAAAACGTAGGTTAAAAAAAAGTATTACAGACACAGTATGATGCAAATCTTTGACTTGGCTAGCCTCAAGGCTTTTAAAAGTCTAAGATTCCTTATTAGAAAGTTCCAACAAAGCCAATTTTAAGAAGCCTATATGGTCAATAAATATTCTTGCTGCACTTTATGCAAATAATCAGACCAGGTATGATAAGACTAAAACTTATTTTGCACAGAAATTTGTCCTACTATGGTTTGTCTTTGATAAAATGATGGACTAGAGAGAGAAAATTCATGTTTCAAATGAAAACTGTGACATATGCTATTAGATTCCAGCCCTGATCATTCTTTTCCGAGTTTTTATTATTTGCCTATAATTTGGGCTGAATCCTGAATTATTTCCTGGCTCCAAGTGTTCCCTAGTGAACCCAGATAAAATATATTTTTAAAAAACTTGTTTTATCCTGTCAGTAATGAGATGTATTTTTGTAGGACTACTTAAACTAGCAATTACAATTCGATTATTATGATTATAGAATCTCGGGATTTATCTTCCTTCTTGTCAAGGTCTTTACCTGATGTTTGTCTCATTAAAAAAAAAAAGAAATCAGACTGATTGCACTCTACTCAAGACTGAAGACATGTACTTTAACCTGTCTCTGTTACCAGTAAACCAAAGCCTTAAATTTCAGAATCCGTCAGGGACCCTGTGTGGTCCCTGGATCAAGCACACATGGGCTTATGAATGTGTTGACCGCTGGCATATGAGAGGTAATTGTCTATTAGGTTATGTGGCTCTTCCTCTTCCTATTTATAACTCCAATGTTTCTGAACGCTGAAGTAGTTCATCGAAATTATTTTCCAGGATTAGACAAACCGTACCTGCAAACCAAGGAGATGAATTTTGGCCTATGTTTGGCAGAAATCTCTTGCAATGGTGGGGAGTAACCTCTCATGAACGTATAATTAGAAATCTGTCAACCACTCTAGGTAACTTAGCAAATGAACCAGCTGAAGCCATAGCTACCAAATAAAGATCTTCAGACTCTTTAGCCAGGATAGTCATGGATGACGGAATAACTTTAGGCTACATAGTGGTGAAACAGGGAGAAACTCATATGGCAGCTAGCTAACACTTCATGTTGTGTTTAGATCCATACATCTTCTGAAGTTGAAACACGTGTAAAAAAATAAGACGATATGGGAATTAATTATGACAAATCCTAGGGAAGAGGCTGAAAGAGCTGTAACACAAACAGGGCTGAGACATGCCCCTTGCTCGCCACATTGTGGGCAAAGAGAAGGAAAGAAGAGCTATGGCCCTTTGGGGAGCCCAGACCTGGGAGCTCCCCGAGCCAGAGCTGTGATTCCTTCTTTGGGGCCTTTGGTTCCTGATATCTCCAAGCTTCTGGGTGCCACTGTGTTCCCAGTGTGCCAGCTGTGGAAGCTTCTTGAGGTGCCCGTGGTCCAGCCACAGCCTTGTGGAGAGCTGGCGCCCGTGTTGGCACCTGGAGCTACCTGCTCCACTTCAGCAGCCAGCAAATCTGACTGCACAGTGGCCAGACCCCATGCTCACTCACACACCCCTTGCCACTCCATGCAGTCTCCCTTGGCAGGCATGGGATCCAACGTGGTAGCATGAGCAGAGCACAGCCTGCCAGGCTGAGTGTGCGGGGCCCAGCAAAACTCAGGCAAAGGTGCCACCAGTCATAGAGGTTTCTGTCCAGAAAAGTAACACCCCAAAGATCCCATAACACCGCTACTCTTCCCAGCCTCTGGAAACTCTCAGTCTACTCTCTATCTTGATGAGTTCAATTGTTTTAATTTTTAGCTCCCACAAATGAGTGAGAACATGCGAAGTCTGTCTTTCTGTGCCTGGCTCATTGTACTTAACATAATTGTCCTCTAGTTCCATCCATGTTGTTGCAAATGACAGAATCTTATTCTTTTTCATGGCCGAAGAGTACTCCATTGTGTATATGTACTACATTTTCTTTATCCCTTCATCTGTTGATGCACACTTAGGTTGCTTCCAAATCTTGGCTATTATGAATAGTGCTGAAATAAATATGGGAATGCAGATATCTCTTTGATATACTAATTTTCCCTCTCTTGGGTATATACCCAGCAGTGGGATTGCTGGATCATATGATAGTTCTATTTTTAATTTTTTGAGGGACCTCCATATTGTTCTCCATAGTGAATATATTAATTTACATTCCCACTAACAGAGTAAGAGTGTTCCCTTTTCCCCAAATTCTTGAAAGCATTTGTTATTGCCTGTCTTTTGCATAAAAGCCATTTTAATGGGGTAAGATGATATATTTTTGTAGTTTTGATTTTAATTTCTGTCATGATCAATGATATTGAGCATCTTTTCATATACCTATTTGCCATTTATATATGTTCTTTTTTGTTTTTGCTCATTTTTTGAGACAGGGTCTCACTCTGTCACCCAGGCTGGAGTGCAGTGGTATGATCATGGCTTAATGTAGTGTTGACTGCCAGGGTTCAAGCAATCCTCCCACCTCAGCCTCCTGAGTAGCTGGGACCACAGTCATGCATCACCATGCCCAGGTAGTTTTTAAAATTATTTGCTATGTTGTTCAGGTTGGTCTTGAACTCCTGGGCTCAAGTGGCCCACCCGTCTTGGCTCCCCAAAGTTCTGGAATTACTTGTGTCAGCCACTGCGCCTGACCTGTGTGCCTTCTTTTGAGAACTGTCTGTTCAGATCTTTTGCCTATTTAAATAATTGGATTGTTAGTTTTTTTCTTGTAGAGTTGTTTGAGCTCCTTATATATTCTGGTTATTAATCCCTTGTCAGTTATATAGTTTGCAAATATTTTCTTCCATTCTGTGGATTGTCTTTTCACTTTGTCCATTGTTTTCTTTACTGTGCAGAAACTTTTGAACTTGATGTGATACCACTTGTTCATTTTTGCTTTGGTTGCCTGAGCTTTTGGAGTATTACTCAAGAAATCTGTGCCAAGACCAATTTCCTGGAGAGTTTCCCTAATGTTTTCTTTCAGTAGTTTCGTGTCTTTGATTTAAGTCTTTAACCCATTTGGATTTGATTTTTGTATATAGTGCAAGAGAGGGTTCTAGTTTAACTATTCTGCCAATGACTTTGGGAGGCCAAGGTGGGCGGATCATGGGGGCAGGAGATCGAGACCATCCTGGCTAACACGGTGAAACTCCGTCACTACTAAAAGTACAAAAAAAAAATTAGCCAGGCGTGGTGGTGGGCACCTGTACTCCCAGCTACTTGGGAGGCTGAGGAGGAGAATGGTGTGAACCCGGGAGGTGGAGCTTGCAGTGAGCCCAGATCGCGCCACTGCACTCCAGCCTGAGCAACAGAGCTAGACTCCATCTCAAAAAAAAAAAAAAAATCTGCCAATGAATATCTAGTTTTCCCAGCACAATTTGTTGAAGAGACTGTCCTCTCCCCCATGTATATTCTTGGCACCTTCATTGAAAATGAGTTAATTGTAAATGTATGGATTTATTTCTGGGTTCTCTATTCTGTTCCATTGGTCTATGTGTCTGTTTTATGCCAGTACCATGCTGTTTTGTTTATAATTGCTCTGTACTATAATTTAAAGTCAGGTGATGTGATTCTTCCAGTTTTGTTCTTTTTGCTCAGGTTGGCTTTTGGTATTCTGGGTCTTTTATGGTTTCATGTAAATTTTAGGATTTTTTTTCTGTTTCTGTGAAGAAAGTTATTAGTATTTCAATAGGGATTGCATTGAATCTGTAGATTGCTTTGTGAAGTATGGGTATTTTAACAATATTTACTCTTCCAATAAATGAACATGGACTATCTTTCCATTTTTTTTTTTGGTGTCCTCTTTAATTTTTTTGCATCTATGTTTTATAGTTTTCATTGTAGAGATCTTTCACTTCTTCTGTTATGTTTATTCCCAGTTATTTTATTTTATTTGTAGCTATTGTAAATGGGATTACATTCTTGATTTTCTTCTTTAGATTGTTCATTTTTGTCATTTAGAAATGCTACTGACTTTTGTAGTTTGATTTTGTATGCTGTGACTCTGAATTTGTTGATCAGTTCTAATAGTTTTTTGGTGGAGTCCTTAGGTTTTTCCAAATATAAGAGCTAATCATCTGCAAACAAGAAACAGTAATAATTTTACTTCTTTCCAATTTGGATCCCTTTTATTGTTTTTCTCTTGTCTGAATTGCTCTAGCTAGGACTTCCAGTACTATGTTGAGTAACAGTGTTGGAAGTGGACATTCTTGTCTTGTTCCAGATCTTAGAAGAAAGGCTTTCAGCTTTTCCCTGTCCAGGATGATACTGGCTGTGGGTCTGTTGCATATGGTTTTCATTGTGTTGTGGTATGTTCCTTCTATATCTAGTTTTTTTTGAGGGTTTCTTTTTATCACAGGGATGTTGAATTTTATTAAATGCTTTTCAGCATCAATTGAAATTATCATATGGTTTTTGTCCTTCATTCTGTTGATATGATGTGTCACATTGATTGATTTGCATACATTGAACCATGTTGGCATCCTTGGGATAAATCCCACTTAGACATGATGAATGGTCTTTTTCATAGGATGAGTTTGGAAATACTACAGCCTTCTCTGTTTTTTTGGAATAGTTTGAGTAGGATTGATAGTAATTCTGCCTTCAATGTTTGGTAAAATTAATCAGTGAAGCCAGTGAAGCCATTGAATCCAGGCTTTTCTTTGCTAGGACATGTTTTATTACGGCTTCAATTTCATTTATCCATTTCTTCTAGGTTTTTTTTTTTTTTTTTTGAGATGGAATCTTGCTCTGTCACCCAGACTGCAGCGTGGTACAATCTCAGCTCACTGCAACCTCTGCCTCCCAGGTTCAAGTGATTTTCCTGCCTCAGCCTCTAGAGTAGCTGGAAGTACAGGTGCATGCCACCATGCCTGGCTAATTTTTGTATTTTTAGTAGAGATGGGGTTTCACCATGTTGACCAGGCTGGTCTTGAACTACTGACCTCAGGTGATCACCTGCCTTGGCTTCCCAAAGTGTTGGGATTACAGGCATGAGCCACGGTGCCCAGCCATTTCTTCCAGGTTTTTCAATTTATTGGAATATAGTTGGTCATAATAGTTTCTAATGATTCTTTGAATTTCCACAGCATCAGTTATAGTGTCTCCTTTTTAATCTCTGGTTTTATGTATTTGAATCTTCTCTCTTTTTTCTTAGTCTGGTTAAGTGTTTGTTGATTTTGTTGGTCTTTTAAAAATATTAACTTTTCATTTCATTGATATTTTATATTTTTAAATTTCAATTTCATTTATTTCTGCTCCGATCTTTGCTATGTTTCCTTCTAGTAATTTTGGTTTTGGCTTGCTCTTGCTTTTCTAATTATTTAAGATGCATTATTAGGTTGTTTATTTGAAGCTTTTCTACTTTTTTTGATGTAGGTGCTTTTATCTATAAACTTACCTCTTAGTACTGTAGTACTGTTTTTACTGTATCCCATAGGTTTTTTTTTTTTTTTTTTTTTTTTTTTTTTTTTTTTTTTTTTTTGAGACGGAGTCTCGCTCTGTTGCCCAGGCTGGAGTGCAGTGACGCGATCTCGGCTGACTGCAAGCTCCGCCTCCCAGGTTCACGCCATTCTCCCGCCTCAGCCTCCCGAGTAGCTGGGACTACAGGCGCCTGCCTTCACGCCCGGCTAATTTTTGTTTTTTGTATTTTTAGTAGAGACGGGGTTTCACCGAGTGCGCCCGGCCTGTACCCTAGGTTTTGGTTTGACTTTAAACTTTTTCTTTTCTCGAAAACTCAGTGTCATGGTACCGGCTTCTTGTGCTTTGGGCAGTGAGACCCTTTTACTTGATAACAGTGGTAGCTGGGACAAGTTGGCAATGTAAATAAATAAACAACATCTAGATTGGAAAGGAAGAAGTACAGTTATCTTTATGTACAGATGACATGATCTTGCATTTAGAAAATCGTAAGAAATTTACTAAAAAGTATTAGGACTCATGAACAAACTTAAGAATGTAACACTATATAAGATTGGTATACAAAAATAACTGTATTTCTTTACCAATAAATCAAGAATCCAAAAATGGAATTAAAAAAATAAATCTTGTTACAATAGAATTAAAGCTGGGGAAGCTTAAACTTGAACACTAAAAACTACAATACATGGTTAGCGTTGGAAACACCCAGATACCATCCCTGAGCCTTCTCTCCTTGGCTCTGAGGGCTTTACCTTCACGGGGTGAGGAAAGGGGTTGCATTCTTGGCTTTTACATTATCTTAGGTGGGTTCGGGTTGAGGTATCTGCAATTCAAATGAGTATTACAATCTCTACTTTTATGGATAAGAGACTGAGGCCCACCAAGAGAGGGAATGACAGTCCATATCCTGGAAGGCGAATTGTCAGGCACTGATTTCCGCTATTTAACCCCTGCCAATCATCATGTATTTAAAGGATCCCCAGATACCATACCAATAGGTGTTCAAGAGAGAGGCCTGTAATCTAGGCGTCTGAGAAAACAAGGCTAGAGATTCCAATATTGGAGACAACAGGGCTCTGGGAAGATTAAGGTTGAGTTTTCTGGATCTGCAGAATAGAGTCACTGAGGACCAATTGCAAGATCAGAGGAGATGAAAGAACAAGTCAGGGCATGCTTAGGAAAAGAGAATACCAGGGATAGGTTTTAGGCAAGAGTCACACTGAGGAAGGGCAGGTTCTTGGCGTCGTTTAGGAAGAAATCCAAAAGCAAGCCTGTGGTGGAAGAAAGCAGCTCTACGGAGGCATTGGCGGTGTTACAGCACTGCGTCCACTCCGGCAGGGCAGGGAGCCCTCCGTGGGTTGTGCTCCCAGAGCAGCAGCCTAGGGGTGGCTTGTAGTCATTTTTATAATTCACTTTTAATGGCATGCTAATTAAGGGGCGGGTTATTCAGAAATAGCTAGAAATGGGCAGTAACTTCCATCTGTTTCCATGGCAAGGGGTGGGGACTTCTCGTGATGACATGGCATTGGCAAACTGTCATGGCACTGGTGGGAGCGTCTTCTGGTGATCTGAGGCGTGAGGTGCTTTCGCTGCCTCTCCCAGGTTCCTGCGTGCCTCTTACCTGAAAGCCCATCACACCCCCATCTGCCCACCTACAAACGTCACTGCCCTTTCACCCCATCCCCGTTTCACACGCACTCCCACATCAACCCTGAGCATTCAAGCCTGCGTTTCCCTGTTAGGAACCTCGGTGGTAGCCGGAGCTCTGAGAAACCCCTAGGCAGAACTCCTTGCCTAGTTTGTGGCAGACATCAGGGAAGGAAAGGCAAATTTCAGGTCTTTCTCACAATAAATAAATAAAGATAGGTAGATTTGATTGATGGATGGATGGATGAAACCTGGGAGTCTACGGGCAAATATTTATCAGACACTGGAAGTGTAAGTTGTCACAAAGATTATGGAGTGCACCTGTCTTATGACCCTGTTATTTTATCCTAGTATGTGCACTAGAGCATATTTTCTAACAGTGTAAATTGAAGGCTCACAAATTAGTTTAGTGAGAGAAAAGATAACGGATTGGAAGAGAATTACCATATTCATTAGTTGTGTTTTAAAATTTTTAAAGTAAAATAGAGACATTATTTTTTCATGCTTTCGAATGCATCTATAAAAAATAGACTTGAGGGCTGGGCGCAGTGGCTCACGCTTGTAATCCCAGCACCTTGGGAGGCCGAGGAGGGCGGATAACGAGGTCAGGAGTTGGAGACCAGCCTGACTAACATGGTGAAAACCCGTCTCTACTAAAAATACAAAAATTAGGCGAGTGTGGTGGCACGCGCCTGTAATCCCAGGTACTTAGGAGGCTGAGGCAGGAGAATCGCTTGAACCCGGGAAGCGGAGGTTGCAGTGAGCCGAGATCGCACCATTGCACTCCAGCCTGGGCGACAGAGTGAGACTCCTTCTCAAAAAAAAAAAAAAAAAAAAAAAAACTTATTCATAGCATAGACCAATTGGCCTCTATTGAAATTTCTCCATTATTTTCACAATGTCCCAGGCTGTGAAACCAGGATTTAATAAAGAACCAGAATGCCACATCTGTGTCACCTGGGTAGGGACCAGTCCTGATCCATTAAGTCCGGGTCTCTGGGTAACTGGACTCAACTGCTGGGCAAAACAGAATGTCCGGCTTGGGTTCCTAACGGGGTACCGCAAAGCCTCATGGGAATTGTAGTGTCACCTTCCAATGATGTTACCATCAAGGACCTTGGGAACCAGCTTTTCTCTCTGCGCTTGCGCCGCCCGGCCCACTCCGCCATTTTCCTCCGGAAGTGCGGCACCCAGAGGCGGTCCTGTAGCCGGGCCGGCTTGGGGCTTGGTTCTATGTCCCTGCGGGTCGGTGCAAGGGCGAAGAGGAACCCGTGGGCCTCAGGGGATCCCGGGGGGCCGGACCAGTGTTCCCTAGTTGTGGGAGCAGACGCGTGGGCACATTGCGGGCGGGCAGGGCCTGAAGTGCAGGTGCGGGCAGTGGACCCTGGCGGGGGCTGGGAGGACAGGCGTGGGGTCCCGGCAGTGAAACGGGTTCTAGAGGCGCAGGAGCAGGTAGGAGAGGCCGGTGGCCCTGGGCCCGGAGTCTGCAGGCCAAGCTCCTGTCCTGCCGCTGAGGGACCCGGTTACCAACCTGCATGACGCTCAGTTTGCCCATCTGTCCCAGTGGTAACACACAGTTCTCGGGAGACGTTCCCCATTCCCAGAGGAGTAGTGTGAAACGCGTGCGCCTCTAGTCTTAAACTTGGCGTTTGTATTAGTTGGGTTTCCTGGTGTCTCTTTAGCAAGTGAAGTTTCTGGTTCCCTCCTTCACTGTGTGACCTGCCTAGTCCTCCTGGGTCGCATTTACAGAAGTTTATACGAGACCTAGTTTCCAGGGAAGAACTCACTGATTCCGCGAGGGAGATGGCTTAATGGATGATGGTCGTCAGCCTTAAGGATACTTCAGTCTTAACTGTGTGTTACAAAGTTTGAAAGGGAGGGTTCCCTATGAATAAGAAGCACACTTGAAAGAACAGCCATCTGGTCTAACCTCTCACTGGTGCTTCAGAGGAGGAAAAAAGGTCACAGGTGAAGATCCCAGTTTTCCTTGCTCAGGAAATATTAATTCTACTCCCTAGAATGCACACGATTTGCAAAGACTAGGTGATAGTAGAAGGTTTGGACGAACTTTCAGAAGGTTGAGGTGAATTCAGCTAAGAAGAACAGGCAAGGACTTAGGAAATATTCCTTATTTGAAGGGGCCTGAAAGTGTGGTCTGGGGTACAGCAGTGACCTGTCATACTTGAGAGGATTAAAATACTCTCCAAACACAGTCCCATTCCTTCAACCTTAGCTCGTTTTTTCCAGCGTCTGAGATATATTAAACCTAGTCCATCCCCAAATTTAACATTAGATTGCGAAGTTCTATTGATTGTATTTGATTTGTAATTTAAGATTTTCTCCCCCTACGTAATTTTGTTAAAAACACAGAAGTGAATTCTGTTCACTTAGGTGTAACAGTTAATACTTGCTGTTTAAGGAACTAATTAAACCTTACTGGCTTATAAAAAACAACCACCATTTTATTTGTTTGAAGTTCTGTGGATCTGCACTTTGGTGTGGTGGGTTCAGCTGGGTAGTTAATATATTTGTGTTGCCTGGATCACAAAAAGGCCTCAGTCACCTGGTGCCTTGACTGAGCCTGGTTGGTTTAAGATAGTTTCCTTCACAATCTGGTGGTTTGTGGTGACTCTTGGCTAGGCCCTGTGTCTCCAACAGGGTAGCTCCAGACCTCTTCACAATTTCCCCCAAAAAGGAAAGAACCAATGGATATTTGCATCACATTTTCCATTTTCCATTCACTGGACAAGTCAGATGGAAAAGCCCAATTTATTGTCAGAGCATAATATGAGGGCTTGGATAGAAGGAAAGGTGTTATTGGGAAACATGAGTAGAATGGTGTACTGCAGGAAATACATATTATGTACATTTTAAAAAACGTAATTGTAGGCCAAAATTGCTGGTTTGCAAGATGCACTTTCCATGATGTTCAGGTATAGAAAAGCAAGATGTACTGTCATGGGAACACTCATATGAAGTTATTTGTGGAATCTACATATTAATAGGAAAATAGTTAATACAGCCCAGTATATTACTATAACATTTACTTTAGTGAACTTATAATGTTTCTTTGTATTAAATTATTAGATTATATCTTTAGATAATATTGTTACTAAATTAGTAGGTAATATATATTTTTATTCAAAAATAAATTGTGCATCTAATGTCTACCAATTAATGTACTTGTAGATGTATCTTATCTTAACTTGAGTCTTTGCTGCCCCTAATGAGGTGTGAAGGACTCTTCTCCCCTGGGGAAGTTTTTCTTTTTCAGGAGGGAGGAGGGCTTTCCCAGGTAATGTGTCTAGAGTGTTGGGCAGAAGAATCTGGGACCACACCACACCAGTTCTCTCCTTAATCCACGTCATTTGCCTTCTATCCCAGCTATGTTTCCAGTGTCCTCTGGGTGTTTCCAAGAGCAACAAGAAACGAATAAATCTCTGGTGAGTTGTTTATTTGTTCTTCACTTTGTTTTACACTGTATTTTCTGAGTTTATGGGTGTCTGTGAATTAAAAAGGAAAAGTAGAAATAAGTAAAACTCAGGTTGAAGGAAATATACATAAATAAGATAAAGCTGACCTGTAGATATAGGCAGGTTATAAGAGCTTAGAGTTGTCTAAGTTGAGTGCAAATTTTCCTCTGATCTTTCTGATGCCGAGACAAAAAAGGCAGTCATGTTTGTTATGTGATTGGAATGGAACCTGAGAAGAGAGCATGCTGTGTTCTTGTGGGACAGGAAAGCTTGCGTGCACCAAGTCTGAACCACCACCTTCATTGGTGACATAGATTATGTGCTGGAACATATTTCACACCGGCCTGGCAGTAAACACTTGTAGTGTTGTGCAGTGGAAACGGTCATCTTCCGCTAAAGCACGGCGTGTTGTGCAGCGGAAATGGTCATCTGCTGCTAAAGCACAGCTTCCATCGTAATGTATGCTCCTTGCTCAAAGAGTGTGGTCCCAAACAGCCTTTGGGAGGTCCTCCTTGATTCATGGATGAAACCTGGAACATCTTGAGGACTGAGTTAACCATAGGTCCTTAAATAACTCTCCACACGTTTTTCTTAGTTTATCTCTACATGCAGGGTGTGCAGCAGCCTGTTCAAAGTCATATTTTCTGGGAAATATTTCCAGTGTTTATTTGCACTTTAGCCCACTCTGTGTAGCCTTATTTCTTCTAAACTCACCATTAACCTGAATAATAGTCAAATTTAGGGGGACTGTATTTGCCTTACTCGAGTCTTCTACCATAGTTGAAACTGTCGTACCCGAGTGAGTTAGAGAGAAATGCCACGCATTGAGACGAATTCAGGAGTCCTTTACTAGCCAGCGACTGAGACATGGCTAACGCACGAAATTCTCTCGGCCCCGAAGAAGGGACTAGATTTTCTTTTATACTTTGGTTTAGAGAGGGGATGGGGGATTCTAGCTGCAGCAACTTTACAGAAGAAAAAAACAGACAAAAAACTTAGAAAGACAGATGGTTACAGGAAAACAAACTGTTCCTGGTGTAGGGTCTTTAAATTCACCACAAAGTGATAGGTGAGGGGGCTCTGGGCATTATCTGCCGGACAAATGTGGGGGCTTTATGATACTATCTCTGAGTAAATTGCTGGGAACTGGGGACATCTCTTGTCTCAGCACTTTATCAGTTAATTGCACGCTTTGATATGTTGAAAATCAGCTTGCACAAGTTAAAGTCCTTGAGGAAAGGGGGTGGGTAAGGAGTCCTTGATGTCTTGTTAATGAAGGAGCCAAATGGAGTTTGTCTGGTTTTCTCAGCTAAGGGAGAGTCTATTCATATTAAAAACAAGGTTAGCTGTCTAAGGAAGAGTCTATTCATGTTAATACAACGTTGGGTATTACAAAAAGTCTGTTCATGATCTGGAAATTCTTCTGTGTTAGTTCTGTTAAAAGAAAAACTTTAAAGGAGTTTAATTTAGCAATAAACGATTCATGAATCGGACAGTCCCCAGAATCACAGCAGATTCACAGAGACTCCAGTGCAGTCATGTGGTGGAAGAAGATTTATAGACAAAAGGGAAGTGGCATACCGAAATCGGAAGTGAGGTACAGAAACAACTCAGCGTTTGCCTTGTTTGAACACATTTTGAACATTTGGCAGTGCCTGAGTGGTTGAAGTTTGGCCATTGGGATTGGCCAAGATGTAGCTGTTGTTCCAGGTGCATACTCTTAAGTTAGTTTTTCATTCTTGTATACCTATTAAGGTAGGTTGCAGTTCACCCACAAGGACTCATATATAGAATTATGGAGTCCTTCTCAGGCCATACTTAGTTCACTTTAACAATGCCTTCCCTTTGGTTATTTTCTCAATTTTGAGAGATTGGCCGAAACTTCAGTCACTGGTGTCACTATTACCATTGCAAATGTACTTACTTGGTTTAGAAACCCACTGGGAAATAGACCAGTGAGATTTGAAAAGGTGGAACAAGGACTTGAGTAGAAGGTATCTTCTTATGCTGGAACATCCTGTTTACAGGAGAAAAACAAAACCTGGTTTGTTCTAGGATTTATGTGTTTCCCTAAAGTCTTAGTTTGATTATGTTACATTTAGCATGAGTGACTCCATTTTGGTTTGGTTTGGTTTGGTCTGTTGGGACCTATTGCATGAGCTTAGTTCAAAACAATGGCCTCCCATAATTTTGCTTTAAAAATTCCTCCTTTTTGCTGGGTGTGGTGGCTCACACCTGTAATCCCAGCACTTTGGGAGCCTGAGGTGGGCAGATCACGAGGTCAGGAGATTGAGACCATCCTTGCTAATATGGTGAAACCCCATCTCTACTAAAAATACAAAAAATTAGCCAAGTGTGGTGGCGGGTGCCTGTATTCCCAGCTACTCAGGAGGCTGAGGCAGGAGAATGGCCTGAACCCGGGAGGCAGAGCTTGCAGTGAGCCGAGATCATGCCACTGCACTCCACTCTGGGGGACAGACCAAAACTCTGTCTTAGAAAAAAAAAATCCTCCTTTTCAGTCAAGTTCTCACTTAGTTGAGAGTGTGACCAAAATGTAGGGCCTTAGCATCACTCTTAGTTACCATTGTTTTGGGTTCCAGTTTTAGCATGTCATTCCCATTGTTTTGGGTTTCTGGTTTAGCACATCACTCCCATTGTTTTGGGTTCCGGTTTTAGCACGTCATTCCCATTGTTTTGGGTTTCTGGTTTAGCACGTCACTCTCATTGTTTTGGGTTCCTGTTTTAGCACGTCACTCCCATTGTTTTGGGTTCTGGTTTAGCACGTCACTCACATTGTTTTGGGTTCTGGTTTTAGCACCTCACTCCCATTGTTTTGGGTTTCTGGTTTAGCACGTCACTCCCATTGTTTTGGGTGTCTGGTTTTATCACGTCACTCCCATCGTTTTGGGTTTCTGGTGTAGCAGGACCCTCCCATTGTTTTGGGTTTCTGGTTTTAGCACTTCACTCCCATTGTTTTGGGTTTCTGGTTTAGCAGGACCCTCCCATTGTTTTGGGTTTCTGGTTTTAGCATGTCACTCCCATTGTTTTGGGTTCCGGTTTTAGCACGTCACTCCCATTGTTTTGGGTTCCGGTTTAGCACGTCATTCCCATTGTTTTGGGTTCAGGTTTTAGCACATCACTCCCATTGTTTTGGGTATCTGGTTTTAGCATGTCACTCCCATTGTTTTGTGTATCTGGTTTTAGCACCTCACTCCCATTGTTTTGGGTTTCCAGGTTTTAGCACGTCACTCCCATTGTTTTGGGTTTCTGGTTTATCATGTCACTCTCATTGTTTTGGGTTTCTGGTTTAGCAGGACGCTCCCATTGTTTTGGGTTTCTGGTTTTACACGTCACTCCCATTGTTTTGGGTTTCTGGTTTAGCAGGACACTCCCATTGTTTTGGGTTTCTGCTTTAGCAGGTCACTACCATTGTTTTGGGTTCTGGTTTAAGCACATCACTCCCATTGTTTTGGGTTCCGGTTTTAGCACATCACTCCCATTGTTTTGGATTTCTGGTTTAGCAGGTCACTCCCATTGTTTTCGGTTCTGGTTTAAGCACATCACTCCCGTTGTTTTGGGTTCTGGTTTTAGCACCTCACTCCCACTGTTTGGGTTTCTGGTTTTGCAGGTCATTCCCATTGTTTTGGGTTCCAGTTTAAGCACATCACTCCCATTGTTTTCGTTTCCGGTTTTAGCACGTCACTCCCATTGTTTTGGGTTCCAGTTTTAGCAAGTCACTCCCATTGTTTTGGGTTTCTGGTTTAGCATGTCACTCCCATTGTTTTGGGTTTCCAGTTTAGCATGTCACTCATAGGTTATGGTGGCCTTATGGTTGCACATTTTTTTTAATCTCTTGTCATTCCAGTTGAAGAGATACCATTTGACATTTTAGAGATGGCTGCATGCAAACTCTTGAAACATTTGAGTAAGTACAGTACACCAGGGAGACTCTTATGACTATTGGGATAACACCAAGATGTGGTATATGCTCCTTACTCAGGGTCCCCATAAATCAAACCACCAAAAATCAAATAGATTAAAGAATGAATTAGATAAAGGGTTTACTTGCTTAACTAAGTGGTTTTTTTTGTTAATTCCCTACAACCAAATCTTTATAATACCCCATGTTTTCTCCACATGCTGTAAGTGTTAGCAGCTGCACAGATACTTAAGATAAGAGTCTCATGATAGTAGAGAAGTCTTGATCTGTGATCTTGGGAAAAGCTGTTCACATTAAGGATGCCATCTTCTTCTGGGGGGAACTGTCCGTGTTAGCTTTACCTTAAGGGTTCCAATAGGCATATGGTTCTGAGTGTGGAGGGACCCTTCTGAGTTGTGAGACTATGAACCCAAAGTTTAAGGTTTTAAAGTTTTGTTGTCATGTGGATGGCGAGGGCAGTCCTTCTCTGATGTTCTCAGAAGATCCAGTCATCAGATTCTAGATTTTGAAGGGTTTGACTGTCCTCAGTGAACCATAAAAGGCTTTCTTTACCTGGTGAAAATACACTTCAGGGTAATAATCTACTGTTTTAACATCAACTCTCTCGCATGGAAGAGCTTTTATACAATCAGAAAACATGCACTGAAAATGACAACTGAATGAAATCCCTTTATAAAATGTTTAAATGGCTCATCAGATAACCAAATGTACCTGAAGTTTTGATTGTTTTCCTAGGAATATAGGTTTCACAAACCAAACATTGGTTATAAACTATTTTAGCAGTTTAGAAATCACCACACCAATATATTTAATTTGGATCGTTTTCTCTTTCTGTGATGAGTTATGGAATGCAGAACTTTTAATAACAAAAGTTTTTAGGACTTAAGAAGGATAAGGTGGCCATCCTGGTTCTTCATAGGTCTGTGCTTAATTAACATCAGACTTACATCCTCTTGAATACCAGCTGTTTCTCCAAATTAGGTGCATGGCACTGGTAACTGATGAGTAGTTATAGGTAATTTGATTTAGACCATGGAGTTTATTTAAATTATATATCTAAACAATTTCAATATTGGTGATTTAGCATGAAAATGTGGCAAAATATTTCCTTGGTATACAATTTTTGTTTTACTTGGGTTAGCAGTTTTACAAACCAGTTGGTCTTTTTATTAAATTTTTGATATTTTTTTTTTGAGACAGAGTCTCACTCTGTTACCTAGGTTGGAGTGCAGTGGCACAATCTTGGCTCACTGCAACCTCTGCCTCCTGGGCTCAAGCAATTCTCTTGCCACAGCCTCCCGAGTAGCTGGGATTACAGGCACATACCACCACACCCAGCTAATTTTTGTATTTTTAGTAGAGGTGGGGTTTCACCTTTGGCCAGGCTGGTCTCAAACTCCTGACCTCAAGTGATCCACCGGCCTTGGCCTCCTAAAGTGCTGGGATTGCCGACATGAGCCGCTGCACCCAGCCTAACTGTTGAGAATTCTTAGCCAGTCCAATTCTTGGGGTATCGGGGAACTTATGGGGAATTTTTACCCATGATATTAAAGTTATTAGAAATCTGTGTTCACGAGTGTTTTTCAGGGTCATTTTCATTCTTTCATGAATCTTCTAAGAGACACCATACTCTAGAATTTTGCATGCTTGTGAAGTTTTTAGAAACTGCATCACCATTAAGCAATTAACTGTGAAATGACTTTAGTTATAGTTAAAGACAATTGACAAGGAAATTTGGTTATTTCTGTGGTCTACAATAACTTAATAACCATAATTAGGGTGGATGTGGTGGCTCATGCCTGTAATCCCAGCACTTTGGGAGGCCGAGGTGGAAGGATCATGAGGTCAGGAGATCGTGACCATCCTGGCTAACACGGTGAAATCCATCTTTACTAAAAATACAAAAATTAGCCTGGCATGGTGGTGGGTGCCTGTAGTCCCAGCTACTCGGGAGGCTGAGGCAGGAGAATGGCATGAACCCGGGAGGTGGAAGTTGCAGTGAGCCGAGATTGCGCCACTGTACTCCAGCCTGGGTGACAGAGCAAGACTCCATCTCAGAAAAAAAAAAAATACAAGAATTTTAGAAATCCTACACAATTTTAGAATGGATTGATGACACACACTAAATATAACCTGAGGAAGGTTCCACATTATTTTTTATTTTGACAGTGCTACCCATGTGACTTAACATGTTAAATAGTCCTGTTTACCTCTCCTTTGGGTGCTTCAGGGGTCTCTGTAGTATCCCAAAATTAGAGGTCAGAAAAGACAATTTTGAAGTTGAAATTTGATTTTGGGAAGCCTATTAAATATATTAAAGGTTTAAACACTTGATGTTATGAAATAGAATTCCACATCACCGTAAGTCATTCATTTACCAAAAATCATGACAAAAAATTTTTATTATTTTTTTATTTTTATTTTTTATTATACTTTTAGTTTTAGGGTACATGTGCACATTGTGCAGGTTAGTTACATATGTATACATCTGCCATGCTGGTGTGCTGCACCCACTAACTCGTCATCTAGCATTAGGTATATCTCCCAATGCTATCCCTCCCCCCTCCCCCCACACCACAACAGTCCCCAGAGTGTGTTATTCCCCTTCCTGTGTCCATGTGATCTCATTGTTCAATTCCCACCTATGAGTGAGAATATGCAGTGTTTGGCTTTACGTTCTTGCAATAGTTTACTGAGAATGATGATTTCCAATTTCATCCATGTCCCTACAAAGGACATGAACTCATCATTTTTTATGGCTGCATAGTATTCCATGGTATATATGTGCCACATTTTCTTAATCCAGTCTATCATTGTTGAACATTTGGGTTGGTTCCAAGTCTTTGCTATTGTGAATAATGCCGCAATAAACCTACGTGTGCATGTGTCTTTATAGCAGCATGATTTATAGTCCATTGGGTATATACCCAGTAATGGGATGGCTGGGTCAAATGGCATTTCCAGTTCTAGATCCCTGAGGAATCGCCACACTGACTTCCACAATGATTGAACTAGTTTACAGTCCCACCAACAGTGTAAAAGTGTTCCTATTTCTCCACGTCCTCTCCAGCACCTGTTGTTTTCTGACTTTTTAATGATTGCCATTCTAACTGGTGTGAGATGGTATCTCATTGTGGTTTTCATTTGCATTTCTCTGATGGCCAGTGATGATGAGCATTTTTTCATGTGTTTTTTGGCTGCATAAATGTCTTCTTTTGAGAACTGTCTGTTCATGTCCTTCGCCCACTTTTTGATGGGATTGTTCGTTTTTTTCTTGTAAATTTGTTTGAGTTCATTGTAGATTCTGGATATTAGCCCTTTGTCAGATGAGTAGGTTGCGAAAATTTTCTGCCGTTTTGTAGGTTGCCTGTTCACTCTGATGGTGGTTTCTTTTGCTGTGCAGAAGTTCTTTAGTTTAATAAGATCCCATTTGTCAATTTTGGCATTTGTTGCCATTGCTTTTGGTGTTTTAGACATGAAGTCCTTGCCCATGCCTATGTCCTGAATGGTAATGCCTAGGTTTTCTTCTAGGGTTTTTATGGTTTTAGGTCTAACGTTTAAGTCTTTAATCCATCTTGAATTGATTTTTGTATAAGGTGTAAGGAAGGGATCCAGTTTCAGCTTTTTACATATGGCTAGCCAGTTTTCCCAGCACCATTTATTAAATAGGGAATCCTTTCCCCATTTCTTGTTTTTCTCAGGTTTGTCAAAGATCAGATAGTTGTAGATATGTGGCATTATTTCTGAGGGCTCTGTTCTGTTCCATTGATCTATATCTCTGTTTTGGTACCAGTACCATGCTGTTTTGGTTACTGTAGCCTTGTAGTATACTTTGAAATCAGGTAGTGTGATGCCTCCAGCTTTGTTCTTTTGGCTTAGGATTGACTTGGCGATGTGGGCTCTTTTTTGGTTCCATATGAACTTTAAAGTAGTTTTTTCCAATTCTGTGAAGAAAGTCATTGGTAGCTTGATGGGGATGGCATTGAATCTGTAAATTACCTTGGGCAGTATGGCCATTTTCAAGATATTGATTCTTCCTACCCATGAGCATGGAATGTTCTTCCATTTGTTTTTATCCTTTTTTATTTCCTTGAGCAGTGGTTTGTAGTTCTCCTTGAAGAGGTCCTTCACATCCCTTGTAAGTTGGATTCCTAGGTATTTTATTCTCTTTGAAGCAATTGTGAATGGGAGTTCACTCATGATTTGGCTCTCTGTTTGTCTGTTGTTGGTGTATAAGAATGCTTGTGATTTTTGTACATTGATTTTGTATCCTGAGACTTTGCTGAAGTTGCTTATCAGCTTAAGGAGATTTTGGGCTGAGACGATGAGGTTTTCTAGATATACAATCATGTCGTCTGCAAACAGGGACAATTTGACTTCCTCTTTTCCTAATTGAATACCCTTTATTTCCTTCTCCTGCCTAATTGCCCTGGCCAGAACTTCCAACACTATGTTGAATAGGAGTGGTGAGAGAGGCCATCCCTGTCTTGTGCCAGTTTTCAAAGGGAATGCTTCCAGTTTTTGTCCATTCAGAATGATATTGGCTGTGGGTTTGTCATAGATAGCTCTTATTATTTTGAAATGCGTCCTATCAATACCTAATTTATTGAGAGTTTTTAGCATGAAGCATTGTTGAATTTTGTCAAAGGCCTTTTCTGAATCTATTGAGATAATCATGTGGTTTTTGTCTTTGGCTCTGTTTATATGCTGGATTACATTTATTGATTTGTGTATATTGAACCAGCCTTACATCCCAGGGATGAAGCCCACTTGATCAAGTTGCATAAGCTTTTTGATGTGTTAATGGATTAGGTTTGCCAGTATTTTATTGAGGATTTTTGCATCAATGTTCATCAAGGATATTGGTCTAAAATTCTCTTTTTTGGTTGTGTCTCTGCCTGGCTTTGGTGTCAGAATGATGCTGGCCTCATTAAATGAGTTAGGGAGGATTCCCTCTTTTTCTGTTGATTGGAATAGTTTCAGAAGGAATGGTACCAGTTCCTCCTTGTGCCTCTGGTAGAATTCGGCTGTGAATCCATCTGGTCCTGGACTCTTTTTGGTTGGTAAGCTATTGATTATTGCCACAATTTTGGCTCCTGTTATTGGTCTATTCAGAGATTCAACTTCCTGGTTTAGTCTTCGGAGAGTGTATGTGTCGAGGAATTTATCCATTTCTTCTAGATTTTCTAGTTTATTTGCGTAGAGGTGTTTGTATTATTCTCTGATGGTAGTTAGTATTTTGCTGGGATTGGTGGTGATATCCCCTTTATCATTTTTTATTGCGTCTATTTGATTCTTCTCTCTTTTTTTCTTTATTAGTCTTGCTAGAGGTCTATCAATTTTGCTGATCCTTTCAAAAAACCAGCTCCTGGATTCATTAATTTTTTGAAGGGATTTTTTGTCTCTATTTCCTTCAGTTCTGCTCTGATTTTAGTTATTTCTTGCCTTCTGCTAGCTTTTGAATGTGTTTGCTCTTGCTTTTCTAGTTCTTTCAATTGTGATGTTAGGGTGTCAATTTTGGATCTTTCCTGTTTTCCCTTGTGGGCATTTAGTGCTATAAATTTCCCTCTACACAGTGCTTTGAATGCGTCCCAGAGATTCTGGTATGTTGTGTCTTTGTTCTCATTGGTTTCAAAGAATATCTTTATTTCTGCCTTCATTTCCTTATGTACCCAGTAGTCATTCAGGAGCAGGTTGTTCAGTTTCCATGTAGTTGAGCAGTTTTGAGTGAGATTCTTAATCCTGAGTTCTAGTTTGATTGCACTGTCATCTGAGAGATAGTTTCTTATAATTTCTGTTCTTTTACATTTGCTGAGGAGAACTTTACTTCCAAGTATGTGGTCAATTTTGGAATAGGTGTGGTGTGGTGCTGAAAACATGTATATTCTGTTGATTTGGGGTGGAAAGTTCTGGAGATGTCTGTTAGGTCCGCTTGGTGCAGAGCTGAGTTCAATTCCTGGGTATGCTTTTTGACTTCCTGTCTTGTTGATCTGTCTAATGTTGACAGTGGGGTGTTAAAGTCTCCCATTATTAATGTGTGGGAGTCTAAGTCTCTTTGTAGGTCACTCAGGACTTGCTTTATGAATCTGCATGCTCCTGTATTGGGTGCATGTATATTTAGGATAGTTAGCTCTTCTTGTTGAATTGATCCCTTTACCATTATGTAATGGCCTTCTTTGTCTCTTTTGATCTTTCTTGGTTTAAAGTCTGTTTTATCAGAGACTAGGATTACAACCCCTGCCTTTTTTTGTTTTCCATTTGCTTGGTAGATCTTCCTCCATCCTTTTATTTTGAACCTATGTGTGTCTCTGCACGTGAGATGAGTTTCCTGAATACAGCACACTGATGGTTCTTGACTCTTTATCCAATTTGCCAGTCTGTGTCTTTTAATTGGAGCATTTAGTCCATTGACATTTAAAGTTAATATTGTTATGTGTGAATTTGATCCTGTCATTATGATGTTAGCTGGTTATTTTGCTCGTTAGTTAATGCAGTTTCTTCCTAGTCTCGACGGTGTTTACATTTTGGCATGATTTTGCAGCGGCTGGTACCAGTTGATCCTTTCCATGTTTAGTGCTTCCTTCAGGAGCTCTTGTAAGGCAGGCCTGGTCGTGACTAAATCTCTCAGCATTTGCTTGTCTGTAAAGTATTTTATTTCTCCTTTGCTTATGAAGCTTAGCTTGGCTGGATATGAAATTCTGGGTTGAAAATTCTTTTCTTTAAGAATGTTGAATATTGGCCCCCACTCTCTTCTGGCTTGTAGGGTTTCTGCTGAGAGATCCGCTGTTAGTCTGATGGGCTTCCCTTTGAGGGTAACCCGACCTTTCTCTCTGGCTGCCCTTAACATTTTTTCCTTCATTTCAACTTTGGTGAATCTGACAATTATGTGTCTTGGAGTTGCTCTTCTCGAGGAGTATCTTTGTGGCGTTCTCTGTATTTTCTGAATCTGAATGTTGGCCTGCCTTGCTAGATTGGGGAAGTTCTCCTGGATAATATCCTGCAGTGTTTTCCAACTTGGTTCCATTCTCCCTATCACTTTCAGGTACACCAATCAGATGTATATTTGGTCTTTTCACATAGTCCCATATTTCTTGGAGGCTTTGCTCATTTCTTTTTATTCTTTTTTCTCTAAACTTCCCTTCTCATTTCATTTCATTCATTTCATCTTCCATCGCTGATACCCTTTCTTCCAGTTGATCGCATCGGCTCCTGAGGCTTCTGCATTCTTCACGTAGTTCTCGAGCCTTCGTTTTCAGCTCCATCAACTCCTTTAAGAACTTCTCTCTATTGGTTATTCTAGTTATACATTCTTCTAAATTTTTTTCAAAGTTTTCAACTTTGCCTTTGGTTTGAATGTCCTGCCATAGCTCAGAGTAATTTGATCATCTGAAGCCTTCTCTCAGCTCGTCAAAGTCATTCTCCATCCAGCTTTGTTCCGTTGCTGGTGAGGAACTGCATTCCTTTGGAGGAGGAGAGGCGCTCTGCTTTTTAGAGTTTCCAGTTTTTCTGTTCTGTTTTTTCCCCATCTTTGTGGTTTTATCTACTTTTGGTCTTTGATGATGGTGATGTACACATGGGTTCTTGGTGTGGATGTCCTTTCTGTTTTTTAGTTTTCCTTCTAACAGACAGTACCCTCAGTTTCAGGTCTGTTGGAGTTTTCTAGAGGCCCATTCCCGACCCTGTTTGCCTGGGTATCAGCAGTGGTGTCTGCAAAACTGTGGATTTTCATGATCCGCGAATGCTGCTGTCTGATCGTTCCTCTGGAAGTTTTGTCTCAGAGGAGTACCTGGTCGTGTGAGGTGTCAGTCTGCCCCTGCTAGGGGGTGCCTCCCAGTTAGGCTGCTCGGGGGTCAGGGGTCAGGGACCCACTTGAGGAGGCAGTCTGCCCATTCTCAGATCTCCAGTTGCGTGCTGGGAGAACCACTGCTCTCCTCAAAGCTGTCAGACAGGGACATTTAAGTCTGCAGAGGTTACTGCTGTCTTTTTGTTTGTCTGTGTCCTGCCCCCAGAGGTGGAGCCTGCAGAGGCAGGCAGGCCTCCTTGAGCTGTGGTGGGCTCCACCCAGTTCGAGCTTCCAGGCTGCTTTGTTTACCTAAGAGAGCCTGGGCAATGGCCAGTGCCCCTCCCCCAGCCTCGCTGCTGCCTTGCAGTTTGATCTCAGACTGCTGTGTTAGCAATCATCGAGACTCCGTGGGCATAGGACCTTCCGAGCCAGGTGCGGGATATAATCTCGTGGTGTGCCGTTTCCTAAGCCCGTCAGAAAAGCTCAGTATTAGGGTGGCAGTGGCCCGATTTTCCAGGTGCCATCTGTCACCCCTTTCCTTGACCAGGAAAGGGAACTAACTTCCTGACCCCTTGCGCTTCCCGAGTGAGGCAATGTCTTGCCCTGCTTTGGCTAGTGCACAGTGCACTTCACCCACTGTCCTGCACCCACTGTCTGGCACTCCCTAGTGAGATGAACCCAGTACCTCAAATGGAAATGCAGAAATCACCCATCTTCTGCATCGCTCATGCTGGGAGCTGTAGACCGGAGCTGTTCCTATTCGGCCATCTTGGCTCCTCCTCCCATTATTTTTTAATATTTTCTGAAAATCTTCTTTAAAGAGAGAAAGCCAAATGTCACCCACTTTTTCATAAAACCTTACAGGCAAATCTATTATTCTTTTCTTTTTTGAGATGGATTTTCCCTTTTGTTGCCCAGGCTGGAGTGCAATGGTGCGATCTCGGTTTACTACAACCCCCTGCCTCCCAGGTTCAAGTGATTCTCCAGCCCCAGCCTCCTGAGTAGCTGGGATTAGAGGCATGCCCCACCATGCCCAGCTAATTTTGTGTTTTTAGTAGAGACGGGGTTTTTCCTTGTTGGTCAGGCTGGCCTTGAACTCCTGACCTCATGTGATCCACCTGCCTCGGCCTCCCCAAGTGTTGGGATTACAGCTGTGAGCCACTGCCCCGGGCCATTTTTTTTTAAAGATAGCGTCTTGCTCTGTCACCCTCCTCACCACATTATAGCTCTGGGGGCCAAGCTGCATCACAATGGAAATCATGGAGCCACAGGAAGAATCCACTTAGCTTTGCAAGATGCTGCCCAAGGGGTTGCTTGGAGTAACCAAATTAACATTTTTCATTCTGCTCAGAGCAAAATATATGTGACAAAACATAGACACGAGCCACTTTGCTTAGCACCCAGTGTCAAACTGGTAAGACTCAAACTTGCTCCCAGATAGGCCATGCCATCTCTAAATCTTTTTAGAAGCTTCTGCATGTTAATAGGCATCCCTAGATGAGACTAATTTGGGAGCCATCATTTTTAAATGCACTTCAGGGCATTATTCATTTGGAATGTTACACTATAAGTTATCTTTAGTAAGATTTTGCCATTTCTGTAAGACTTTGCTGCTTCCCAGGCCTAATGAATTAGCCAGAAAGAACTTAGTTTTCCAGAAATTAAGGATCCTATTTTTACCTAATATATTGGCTTTACTCTCAGGTTCCCTTGATTGACTTAGCCAATGATTTTTTTTCCTACCTAAGCGTGTGAGGAAAATGAAACAAAGGGGCAGAACACAAAAATCCCCGTGAATTTCCAAAAGCCAAATTTTACAACCCTCCAATATTATCATTTACTACCACTTTCCTTCTGACCCATTCAGATGTAGGAGGCCTCTAACTGGAACTGGATTCAAGCCAGTTAATTACTGGATCAAATCTGATCCTGGACCCGGTCCCGTTTCTGTCATAACTTCTAAAACATCCAGCCAGTCATGGCTGGATAGCAGTTTGGAACAGAAATTTGCTCAGAGAAACTCAGCTCAAAACACAAATTCATGGAGCTCTGAAATCCGAGAGAGAATTTACCACGATCCCCAGATGCTCTGAGAGGTCAAAGGGCACAAGTGTTACAGAATCCTGAGGCGTCACTTTTCTGCCTGAAACCTCTGGCTGGTGGCGCCTTTACCTGTGTTTTGCTCGGGCCCACTGGGTTCGTTCTGTCCACTTGGCTCATGCTAGTGGTCTGGATCCCACACCTGCCAAGGGTGAGCTGGGTACAGAGCAGTGAAGGGTGTGTGAGCAAGCGAGCATGGGATCTGGCCACTGCACACAGCCAAGCATGCCAGCTGCAGTGGGGTGGGCAGCTCCAGGCACCGCCACAGGTGCCAGCTCCCTGTGAGGCTGCAGCTGGACCAGGCTGACTGCAAACAGCTTCCACTGTGGGTATCAGGGAATGCAGCGGTGCCTGGAAGCTTCGAGATGCAGGAACTGCAGAGCCCCAAATAAGGTGTCACAGCCCTGGCTTGGGGAGCTCCTAGGTCTGGGCTCCCTGAAGGGCCACAGCTCTTCTCTCCTTCTCTCTTCTCTTCTTCTTGCCTGCAATTTGGCAAGCAAGGGGTGCGTTTCAGCCCTGTTTATGTTACACCTCTTTCAGCCCTGCTAGTTGGCAGGTCCCGAGTTCTTGTCCTGAGTCCAGGAAGAATGAGGTATGTGGGCAAGTAGAAGGTGAGCAAGGTGAAGAGGTGCTTTATTGAGCAACAGTACAGCTCAGAGGAGACGTGCAGTGGGTAGCTCCTTTCGGCAGGCAGGTCATCCCAATGTCTGTTCAGCTCTCAGCAGCTGAGAGAGATGCATGGTGGTTAGCTATGCCCACAGTGCCCAGGCTTTTCGAGCTGAGGAGTGCCTTCAAGCCAGTGCTGAGCCACTCTTAGCCCCACCTCAACGTCCCTCCTGTGCTCATCAGTTCCCAAAGTGTGGAGGGGGCCGAGGTGGCAGGGGGCTGGCATGTCAGCACTGCCCTGAGCTTGCACAAACTGGGCTGGGTTGCGACTGTGCCTGGGTTCAACCTCAATTTGGATCCGAAGTTGGAGTGGGCTCTGGGAGCGGAGACATGCCAGGTGGTGGGAGCAGGTATGACTGGGTCTGCGGGGGCAGGGGGGCTTGCTGGGCCTCTGAGAGTGCAAAGATGCCCGGGTTTGCTGTCATGGGTGGATGGCTGCAGCTGTGCCTGGGAGGGTGGGGCTCCTGCCTGCCAATTTAGAAGGGGTGGGTCTCTCACCTGTTCCTGGCTCCCACTAACTTTGAGGAGTTCACAGCCCCAGCCACTCCTCCCCACTGCAGCCAGTGTCTCCGTAGCAACTGCTCCACATGGGCCACTGCTGCCATCATAGAGCGGTCCTTGCAGGTGCCTTTCTTGTACCTCAGCACTCCTGGGGGTCATTAGAAGCCCTAGCAACACTGCTCACCACACTATAGCTCCGGAGGCCCTAGCAGTCCTGCTCCCACAGATCCCACTTCTGACACCATCTATTAAAAGAAAATCTTCAGCTGAATTAAATTTAAAGGAACTTAATTGAGCAATGAATGATTCACGAATCAGGCAGCCCCCAGAATCACAGCAGATTTGGTGAGACTCCAGCACAGCTACATGGTGGAAGATTTATAGACAATAAAGGGAACGTGATGTACAGAAATCTGAAGTGAGGAGTGAGGTCCAGAAGCAACTGGGTCCGTTACAGTTCTCAGCAGTGAGGTCCAGAAACAACTGGACTGGTTACAGTGCTCAGCATTTGCCTTATTTGAACACAGCTGAACACTCAGCAGTGTGTGAGTGGCAGAAGTTTGGCTGTTGGGATTGGCCAGGACTCAGCTATAGTTACAGGTGCATACTCCAAAGTTAGGTTATCAGTCTTTCTACCTATTAAGTTAGGTTGCAGTTTGTCCACAGGGACTCAAATCTAGAAGTACAGAGTCCTTCCCAGGCCATATTTAGTTCACTGTAACAGTTCCTATTATGACCTCACTGACAGTTCTTTTTCTCTGAATTTTCCTTTCTTCTCAACAGCTTGTCCAAATGTTCCATTGGTCCCTGTTCATCCCGCCCTGCAGCTCTCCTTGACTGATTCTGCCCTTTGTGGTTTGCAGTCCTGTTTCTCTACAGCTTGGACCCCTTCAATCTTTCCATCATAGGTTTAACTCTCTGTTGAATTCTTATTTGTAGCTACGCAAATGTTACCTTAAGCTAAAAAAATTCAAAGTGAAAGCCACATCCTCCTCTCTTCCCTTATGTGTATGGTATTACTACCATGCAGCCAGTGACCCAAAATGGGATTTTTTCTGGGCTTTTCTTGCTTAGATTCAGGCTCATCTGGTGTCAAGCCTTGTTACTTTTGTTTCCTTGTTCTTTTATTTTTAATTTTTTTTCTTTTGAGACAGAGTTTCACTCTTGTTGCCCAGGCTAGAGCGCAGTGGTGTGATCCCGGCTCACTGCAGCCTCCACCTCCCGGGTTCAAGCAATTCTCCTGCCTCAGCTCCTGAGTAGCTGGTATTACAGGCATTTGCCACCACGCCTGGCTAATTTTGTATTTTTAGTAGAGATGGGGTTTCTCTGTTTTGATCAGGGTGGTCTCGAGCTCCCGACCTCAGGTGATCTGCCCACCTCGGCCTCCCAAAGTGCTGGGATTACAGGCCTGAGCCACCGTGCCTGGCCTGCTTGTTGTTTTCATCTCATCCTGATTTCTGAATACAGGAGAGGAGCTGAGTTGGTGTTCACTAACAAGCACAGAAGCTTTGTTACATTTACAGTGTCATTCTTGGCAAAACCTGAATGGTATGTTTGTGGGGTGATGAGGTTCAGTCCCCTGTGACCTGTGCATCTGGCCAACACTGTGGTGACATCCTTAGGAATCCATGGGGAGAGACAAAGCATTCAGGAGTTAGTGGGTCATGTTTGACAAGGGCCAATAAAGAAATATGCAAAGACAAAAAACAAGAAGAACATTATCATATTTTATACCTTTTGTTTATATAAATTTATGTCAATGATTCTAGCTTATGTTAATATGCAATGTATACAATATGCTAACATATACAATATATGTTTATAGTTTAAACATTTCTGTCATGTTTTCAGATTCTTTAAAGATTATATTACACTTCCTATTTCAGATAGCTGTTTAAAATGAGTAAGGAAAAACGGATGTGTGCATCAGTTCTAACTGTTTATGGACTAAAACTAGTTGATTTCTTGGTTAAGAACAAAAAGTGACAACCTAATTAACTGAAAATTTTAAGTAGGCAATTATGGTTTTAGCTTTAATGTAAAATATTAACTATGCTCCATTCTTGCATTTTTAACCTAATACTCAATATAAATCGCCACATGCCATGTTTCAGATCAAGGTTCTACTTGTGATCTCTCATGAGTTTTTCAAGGTTTTAATTATCTGAGATGTAACAATGTACCCGTAACCTTACTGGCTTAAACCAGGAATTTATTCTTTTTACATGTCACAATTTTCTGGGTCAAGACACTGGACAGAGCGGTGTGGGTTGGTTGCTTCATGATGTCCCTGGTCTCATCTGGAAGGACTCTAGTGGCTGGGGACGTGAAGCAGGCACCCAGAAGGACTCTAGTGGCTGGGGACACGGAGCAGGCACCCAGCCCTCTCTTTGTGGCCAGCACGGACTTCCTTCCAGTCTGGTAGCATCAGGTAGTCAGGTTTGTCTGGCTTCTCCCAGGGTGTGTGTCCAAGAGGCCCAGGCAGAAGCTGTAAGGTCTCTCATGATCATCCCTCAGAAGTCCCAGAGCATCTCTCCTGCCACACTGTCCAGTTGTACTCATCACTGAGACCAGCCATGATTCAAGGGGGAAAGGTGATTAGATTCCACCTCTTGATGAGAAGCATAGTAGGAACCTGCAGCAGTCTTTAATAAACCACAGCTTGTCCTCTGGCCACAAACTATTAACGTTTCTCCCACATGCAAATTATGCTTTGCCCCTCTCAAGAGCCCCAGAATGGTTTTCCTTATGGCACTGGCTAGTAGCCCAACTGAATCCTGAATCAGGTTGTGGTGGCTTGTCATCTGCACCCACACACACTCAGCTGCAGTGAGGACTGAATCAGGTTGTGGTGGCCTGTCATCTGACCCCCCACACACAGCCACAGTGGGGACTGAATCAGGTTGTTGTGAGCTATCATCTGAGCCCACAAACTCAGCCGCAGTGAGGGGACTGCTGTGAAAACAGTCGACATTTCCCTTTAGAAGCTTTGGTGGGAGGCAAGAGGGAAGTGCTGCCCTGCAGGCCCCGTCTAACAGTTGGTCATTCCCATGGGGCGCCTGTTACAGTTCTGTGATTAGTGCCCAGTCCTGGTCCCTGAAAACGGCGCCCAGTCCTGGTCCCTGAGAATGGTGTTTGTGTCCTTTTACTCCTCCCTCTGGGCTTTTGTCATTCTCCATGTTCTTTTTCCTTCAGTGCCTGGGTTGCCGTTGACCAGCTTTCCCTGCCTTTTTCTTATGGTCAATAGGGTATTCAATGGCTTCTTTTTCATTTTTTTTCCTTTTCTTTTCTTTTCTTTTTTTTTTACTTTGGCCTTTTGAGACAAGAAATTATTTCTTTATATTTTCTCTAAATTCTGTTTGAAAACTGAACCTTCTTCTTTAGATCATGTCCCTCTCCTGTCATATTTATTCAGTGACAGTTAGGGGAGGCTGGTAGCACTTTCCATGTTCTTCCCAGATGTCTCCTTAGGCAGATCCCTGAGATGGTGCAGTGCCCTTTCAGTTTCCATGTTGTGGCCATAGTTTTCCCACAGTCCCTCAGCAAGTAACTCTCAGACCTTTTCTCCAGTTTCCAATGACATTTTCTCACCGTCCTTCAGGCCCTGACCAAGAGTCTTGATGCCCTTCCAGGTTGCATGAATGGTCTCCTTGAGGCCCAGTTACAGGTCAGCCTCACAGTCGTGTCACATATTGTAGCTTCTGATTACCACAGCAGCTCATTTCCAGCTGCCATATTCTGTTCCAGTTATCTATTCTGAAGTAAAACAACTCATTATTACTTGTTTTTTGGCTTAGAGAGTCTTGGTGGCCAGCTCATCTCACACACAGTTGCAGCCAAGCTGGATTGTGTGAAAGCACAGTGGGGTGGTGTGCAGGGTGGCTCACTAGTGGTTGGGAGTGGATGTTGCTGGAGGCTCACTAGTTGTTGGGAGTCAGTGTTGCTGGAGGCTCAGTGGGGGATGTCAATGCATGTAGCTAGTCATGGACTGGCCTTGTGGTTTCCATCATGAGGTCTCAGGGGAGTGGGATTTCCTGCCTGGTGACTGGCTTTCTCCTGGGTAAGTGTTCTGTTTTCTCAGCCTGGCTTCTGAAGTCCCCAAATACCACCTTTGTCACCTTCTGTTGGCCAAATAAGTCAGTAGTCTGGTCAAGGTTTAAGGGGAATTGGTTCTCACAGAGAGAGGAGCAGGAAAGAATTTGTCACCTTTAGTCTACCAGAAATGAGATTTTTATAACAAGTTTATTCCAAATACATTCCAGTTCCCCTTGTGAATACTTTTTTGACTCACAGGGTATTTCAAAGTTTATTACTTGGTTTTCAGACATTTGAGGCTTTTCTGGATATCAATTTGTTGTTGGTTTCTAATTTAATTTCAAGTGTTCAGACAACATCCTTTGTATACTATTTCAGGCTTGAACCTTTTCTCAATCCATCGACATACAGTCTATCTTGGCACTGCCAAGTACCATTTGGGTCAGGATTTTGTCATTTAGATCCGTATTTTTCCTATATTTTTATCTGGTTGTTCCGTCAGTTACTGAGAGAGCAGTATTAATTCACCAGCTATAATTTTGGATTGTCAATTTCCTGCTTTTGTTCTGTTGTTTTTGATTCACATACTTTGAGGCTCTGTGTGTGTGTGTGTAGTTTGTGTGCACTTTGAGGCACAATTTATAATTGTAACATCATCCTCTCTGATTCTTTTATTTTTATTAAATTACCCTGTTTATTTCTGGTGATATATTTTGTTCTGAAGCCTCTTTCATCTAGTGTTAACATCTCTGTTGAAGCTTTTTATGATTAGTGTCTGGATAGCATATTTTTATGTTTAGCATCTGCATAGCATATTTTTTCTCATACTTTGTGTCTTTGTGTTTAAATTGTGTCTCTGTGGATGCCATATTGTTGGGTCTTGCCTTCCTCTCAGGTCTGGCAGTCTCTGTCTTAAGTAGAGTATTTGTCCACTTACATTGTAACTAATCATTGCTAAGGTTGGATTTAGGTCTGCCATTTTTCTACTTATTTTCTATTTGTTTGTTTATTTTTTTTTAAGACAGGGTCTTGTTCTGTCACCCAGACTGTAGTGCAATGGTGCAATCTTGGCTCACTGCAACCTCTGCCTCCCAGGCCCAACCAATCCTCACTTGAGCCCCCTGAGTAGCTGGGACTACAGGTGCATGGCACCACACCTGGCTAATTTTTATATTTTTGTAGAGATAGGGTTTTGCCATGTTGCACAGGCTGGTCTTGAACTACTGAGCTCAAGCAATCTACCCACCTTGGCCTCCCAAAGTGTTCAGATTACAGGCATGAGCCACCATGCCTGGCCTTCGTCTGTCTTTTGATCTTCTATATATTCTTTCCTAACTTCTTTTGGGTTAAATATTTCTAAATATTCCAGTTTGATTAATCTTTTGGCTTTTGGAAATAATTTTTTATAGGCTGGGCATGTTGGCTTATGCTCATAATCTCAGCTCTGTGGGAGGCCAAGGGAGGTGGATTGCTTGAACCCAGGAGTTTGAGACCAGCCTGGGCAACATGGCAAAACCCTCTCTACAAAAAAACCAAACCAAAATTTAGCCTGACATCTTGGTGTGCACCTGTAGTCCTAACTATTTGGGAGGCTGAGGTGGGAGGGTTGCTTGAGCCTGGGAGGTTGAGGCTGCAATGAGCTGTGATCATGCCATTCCACTCCTGCCACGGCAACAGAGTAAGACCGTGTGTCAAAAAAGATCATTTTTTATAAATAATTTATAATTTCGAATTTTGGTAACAAACACATACCTTAAAATTTACCATCATAACCAGTTGTAAGTATACAGTTTTGTAGAGTTAAGAATATTTACATTGTTGTGTAGCAGATTTCTAGATTTTTTTTTATCTTAGAAAACTCTATACCCATTCAACAACTATTAATTTCCCCTTCCTTCCACCTCCTGGCAAGTACTATTCTACTTTGTGTTTCTAAAAATTTGGCTTATATACCTAGGGTTTTATAATATTTGTTTTTTAAGTAGGTTCCATGTTATGTGCAGATGTGTCAGGATTTTCTTCCTTTCTATGGCTGAATAATATTTCTTCATATATATATATTTTCTCTCTCTATATATATATATGTATATTCTTTTGTTTATCCATCTATTCCTGGATGGACGTTTTGGTTTCTTCCACCTCGTGGCTATGTAATGCTCCTGTGAACACAGGTGTGCACATATCTGTTTGAGGTCCTGCTACTAGTTATTCTGTCTCTGTAGAAGTTGGATGGCTGGATCATATGGTCATTTTATTTTATTTTTTTGAGGAGCCAGTTAATATTTCCACCAACAGTGTTCAAGTGTTTCAGTTTCACCTGCACTTGTTACTTTCTGTTGGGTTTGAAGTGATGTCCCATTGTGGTTTCTATTTGCATTTCTCTAATGATTAGTGATGTTACACATCTTCTCATATATCTCATGTATCTGTTGGCTATTTGTATATCATCTTTGCATCTTTGGATGAATGTTCTTTGTCCATTTTTTAATCACTTTATTTTGTTGTGTTGTAGCTGGGTTTTTTGGTCATGAGCATTCATTTATCTCACAGTTCATTCTTGTTACTTGGGCCAGGGTCATGATCATTCATTATCTCTCAGTTCATCCTCATTACGTTGGGCAAACAGTCATGCTGCAGGGTATAGATTATGTTATTCTGTTACTTTCAGGTAGAATTCGGGTCTAGGTTCTAATTGTTTCTAAGTTTAGATTCTGAATGAGAATCAGCAGAGGTAGACCACTGCTGCTGAGGCCTGGGGATTGCTGGGAAAAAGGCAGGAAACAGATACTGACCTGACCATGGAGGGTTTATGTTTCACGGCTCCCATCTGGGTACCCAAGGAACCTACATGTAGCTCGTGTGTGGAGAGCCTACATTGCCCACTCAAAGCAATTGAGGATGGAACAGTCTTGGGGCTGGAGCTCATTATTTGGAATGATAACCACATCTGCACAGAGAGGACCTGATAAGATGTTGTCCTTCCATGTATATCTGGGAATCCTGTGTAGGGTCTCTCTGTAAGGACAGGGGCAGTGTTGGCTCCTTGGCCTCTAGTTAGCTTCACAAGTAGTCTAGTAAAGGCTTTGCAAACTTGTCACCATCTGTGGACATTCTGGCCAGCTCTTGTTTTCACCCTACTGACTTCTTCAGACACTAGGCTTTTGCTTTAGACCATTCATGGTTTTCTTCCTCTTCAAATCAGTAATCAATGAATCGCCTTCAAGTCAATAAATTTCCACTCCTTTAGGAAACCCTGATCTTCTGGTCACACCAAGGTTTAATTAACTGGTTTGATTGTTTTTCTGTTTTCTTGGATTTTTTTTCCTTCTTCCTGGAGGTTTCTAGTAATTCTAGTTTGATGTCTCACTTTCTCCATTTTTTATTTCTTAGTTTTCTTCTGTGATTATTTTCACTGCAGCTGCAGGGCCTAATCCTGGGTTGGCAGAGAACTAGCACTTACTCTGCCCTAATTGGAATCCAGGAGAGATAGCAGGTTCCCTAGTGTGAAAATGTGTTTGCTCCTCTCTGCTTCTGGTAGTCTCTCTGTAGGAGTTCTTTACGCATTCTGAATGTTCACTTCTTATGAGATACATGATGTGCAACTATAGGTTGAATGTCTCTGATCCAAAAATCTGAAATCCCAAATGCTCCAAAGTCTGAAACTTTTTGAGTGCCAACATGACACTCAAAGGAAATGCTTATTGGAGCATCTCAGACTCAGGTGTTTGAATTTGAGATCCTCAACCAGTAAGAATAATGCAAATATTACAAAATCTGAAACACATCCCAAGCATTTCAAATAAGGGACACTCAACTGGTATTTTTTTTAATTTTACAGTTTGCCTTTTACCCTGTTGGTTGTGACCTTTGAGGTACAGAAGTTTTTAGGTTTGATATATTTTTGCTTTTACTGCCTGAGCTTTTAATGTCATATCCTAAAAATTATTGACAAATTCATCGTCATAAAGCATTTTCCAAATTTGTTTTCCCTAGGAGTTTGATAGTTCTAGTTTTACATTTAGGTTTATAATTCACTTTGAATTGATTTTAACGTGGTGTAAGGTAAGAGTCCAACTTCATTGTTTTGCATGTAGTTATACAATTTTCCCATCACCACTTGTTGAAGAAACTGTGCTTTGCCATTGAGTGGTCTTGGCATCCTTCTGGAAGATCATCGGACCATATATGCCAGGGTTGGTTTCTGAGGTCTCTGTTGTGTTGGTCCATAAGTGTGTCAAGAGTGTCTTTATGCCATGACCACATTTTTTTTTTTTGGCTTATTGCAGTTTTGTAATTGCTTTGAGACCTTTAATTTTGTTCTGTTTCAAGATTGATTTGCCTATTCATGGGCCCTGGAGATTCCATATGAGTTTTAGGATAGGTTTTTCTGTTTATCAAAAATGTCATTGGAATCTTTATAAGGATTGTATTGAATCTAGGTCACTTCGAGTAGTGTTGACATCATTCCAAGATGAAATCATCTAATTTGCAAACCCAGCTTTTCTTTTCATTTATTTGTGTTTAATTTCTTTTAACAGTGTTTTGTAGTTTTCTGTGTTCAAATCTTTTGCCCTCTTGGTTAAGCTTATTTCTAATTTTTATAATGCTGTTGTAAATATAATTTTTTTTTTTTTTTGAGATGGAGTCTTGCTCTGTCTCCCAGGCTGGAGTGCAGTGGCACTATCTCAGGTCACTGCAACCTGCACCTTCCTTATTCAAGCGATTCTCCAACCTCAGCCTCTCAAGTACCTGGGATCACAGGTGCGCGCCACCATGCCCAGCTAACTTTTTGGTATTTTTAGTAGAGACAGTGTTTCTCCATGTTGACCAGGCTAGTCTTGAACTTGTGACCTCAGGTGATCTGCCCGCCTCGGCCTCCCAAACTGCTGGGATTGCAGGCATGAACCACTGCACCCAGCCAAATGTCATTCTTTTTAAAAATTTCTTTTCTTTTGTTTTCTCTTTCTTTTCTTTTCTTTTCTTTCTCTCTCTTTCTTTCCTTTCTTTCTTTTTTTTGAGACGGTGTCTCACTCTGTTTCCTAAGCTGGAGCACAGTGGCACAATCTCAGCTGACTGCAACCTCCACCTTCCAAGTTCAAGCAATTCTTCTGCCTCAGCCTCCCAAGTAGCTGGGACTACAGGTGTCTGCCACTATGCCCAGCTAATTTTTGTATTTTTAATAGCGATAGAGTTTTACTATTTATATTGGAGATGGGGTTGACCCAGCTGGTCACGAACTCCTGACCTCAGGTGGTCCACCCGCCTTGGCCTTCCAAAGTGCTGGGATTACAACTGTAACCCACTGCACCTGGCCTCTTTTTAAAATTTTATTTGCAGATTGTTCATTGTTAGTTTATAGAAATGGAACTGACTTGTGTGTGTTACTGTATCCTGAAACTTTGTTGAATTTCATTATTCTACCAGTATTTTGTGGAATTTCAGGATTTTTACACATTACATCATGTTGTCTGTGAACAAAATTTTGTACTTTTTCCTTTCCAATTTGCATGCTTTTTATTACTTTCTCTTGCCTAATTATTCTGAGTAGAAATTCCAGTACTGTGGTGAATAGAAGTGGCAGGAAGAGATGTTGCTATCTTATTCCTGATCCTAGAGGAAAAGATTTTAGTTTTTCACCATTCAGTATGATGTTAGCTGTGAGCTTTTCATGTATAATCTTTATTTACTGAGGAGTTTCCATATATTACTAATTCTTTGAGTGTTTTTATTACAAAAGGTGTTCATCTGGCTCTGGAACCAGATAAATGTTGACCTGATAGAATGGATTGGAATGTCCCCTTCTGGTTTTTGAACATTTTTGGAATATTTTGCAAAGGGCTGGCATTAATTCTTCTTGAAATGTTTGGTAAAATTTTCCAGTGAAGTTATCTGGACCTGGAATTTTCTTTTTTGGGGGGTTTTTGATTACTGGTTGAATCTTCTTACTAGTTACAGGTCTCTTTGGATTTTTTATTTCTCCATGATGCAGTATGGTGGTTTGTGTTTCTAGGAATTTATAAATTTATTCTAGGTTGCCCAGTTCTGTGGCATATGGTTGCTCACATTAGTCTCTTGTAATCTTTTTCATTTCTGTGGAATCTGTTGTACTGTCACCTCTTTTATTTATGATTTTAGTATTTGAGATTTCTCTTTTTTTCTTAATATAGCTGTGAGTTTTAAAATTTTTATTGATCTTTAAAAAAACAAACTCAGTGGTTTTTTTTTCCTTTTTTTCTGGTCTTATTCTGCTTATCTCTGTTCTAATCTGTTATTTTCTTCCTTTTGCTTGGTTTGTCATTAGTTTTTTTTTTTTTTCCCTTTAGGTGTAATGTTAGGTTATTGATTTGAGATCTTTCTTCTTTTTAATTTAATCACCTGCAGCTATAAGCTTCCCTTTAGCATGGCTTTGAGATCTTTCTTCTTTTTAATTTAAGCATCTGCGGCTGTAAGCTTCCCTTTAGCACTGCCTTTGTTGCCTCCTCCTGAGTTTGGGTATGTCATGGTTTTGTTTTCATTTGCTTAAACATTTTTTTTGTCCTATTGTAATATAATTGTGTTGTTTTTAATAGAGGTAATTAATGAAACACATAATGAATTGTGCTTCTGTTTTTATAATATTTTAAGCATTCTTAACTCAGAAATGTAAATTTTAGAAAAAAATTCCAGGCCAGGCACACTGGCTCACACCTGTAGTCCCAGCACTTGAGGAGGCCGAGGTGGGAGGATCATCTGAGGTCAGGAGTTGGAGACCAGCCTGGCCAACATGGTGAAACCCTGTCTTTACTAAAAATAGAAAAAAAATATATAAAAGCTAGCTGGGTGTCATGGCGGGTGCCTGTAATCCCAGCTACTCTGGAGGCTGAGGCAGGAGAATCACTTGAATCTGGGAGGCGGAGGTTGCAGTGAGCTGAGATTGCACCACTGCACTCCAGCCTGGGTGACAGAATGAGTCCATCTCAAAAAAAAAAGAAAAAAGAAAAAACTTGAGACATATTTATTTGTATTTCAATTTAGAAACTATGATCTCCTAAGTGTATTGACACAGCAACCTGACATAAAGATAAAGAATAATAAGTATATAACAAAACGGAAACTTGCAAATACCTTTTTTTATTAATTTTTAATTATATATATTTAAAAATTGCCGGGTGCAGTGGCTTACACCTGTAATCCCAGCACTTTGGGAGGCTGAGGTGGGCAGATCACATGAGGTCAGGAGTTTGAGACCAGCCTGGCCAACATGGTGAAACCTCATCTCTATTAAAAATCAAAAAATTAGCCAGGCGTGATAGCATGCATCTGTAGTCCCAGCTACTCAGGAGACTGAGGCAGCAGAATTGCTTGAACATGGGAGGCAGAGGTTGCAGTGAGCCAAGATAGTGCCACTGCACTCCAGCCTTGGTGACAGAGTGAGACTCTGTCTCAAAAAAATAAAAATTGTCTGGGCACAGTGGCTCACACCTGTAATCGCAGCATTTTGGGAAGCTGAGGCAGGCAGATCACGTCAGGAGATCGAGACCATCCGGGCTAACACGGTGAAATGCCATCTCTACTAAAAATACAAAAAATTAGCCGGACGTGGTGGCGGGTGCCTGTAGTTCCAGCTACTCCGGAAGTTGAGGCAGGAGAATGGTGTGAACCTGGGAGGTGGAGCTTGCAGTGAGCTGAGATTGCACCACTGGACTCCAGCCTGGGTGACAGAGCGAGACTCTGTCTCAAATAAAATAAAATAAAATAAAACTAAGGTGTGGTTGACATACAAAAATTACACATATTTAATATATACCTTTGTGTGTGTGTGTGTGTGTGTGTGTGTGTGTGTGTGTGTGTGTGTGTGTTACGGAGGTTTTACTCTTGTTGCCCAGGCTGGAGTGCAGTGACACGATCTCAGCTAGCTGCAACCTCCACCTCCCGGGTTCAAGCAATTCTCCTGCCTCAGCCTCCTGAGTAGCTGGGATCGCAGGCGTGCGCCCCGACACCCGGCTAATTTTTGTATTTTTTTAGTACAGACAGGGTTTCACCATGTTGGCCAGGCTGGTCTCGAACTCCTGACCTCAGATGATCCACCTGCCTCGGTCTCCCAAAGTGCTGGGATTACAGGCGTGTGACACCGAATATATACATCTTAATGAGTTTAGAGATAAGTATTCGCCCCAGGACTCATCACAACAAATAATGCCGTAAACTTGACCATCACTCCCCATATATTTCTCATTCTGACCCTTTTTAAAAAATGAGACCGGGAGTGGTGGCTCACGCCTGTAATCCCAGCATTTTGCGAGGCCGAGGCGGGTGGATCACGAGGTCAGGAGATCAAGACCATCCTGGCTAACACAGTGAAACCCCGTTTCTACTAAAAATACAGAAAATTAGCCAGGCGTGATGGCGGGCACCTGTAGTCCCAGCTACTTGGGAGACTGAGGCAGGATAGTGGTATGAACTCGGGAGGCAGAGCTTGCAGTGAGCTGAGATTGTGCCACTGCACTCCAGCCTGGGCAACAGAGTGAGACTACGTCTCAAAAAAAAAAAATGAGATGACCATTTCACCTAAAATATACCCTCTTAAGTTTTATTTTAAGTGTACAATACAGGACGGCCATGCATCAGAGATATATGTGGGTTTGGTTCCAGACCACTGCAATAAAGTGAATTATACAATTTCTTTTGGTTTTCCAGTGCATGTAAAAGTATGTTTATACTGTGTTGTATAAAGTGTGCAATAGCATATGTCTACAAAGTGTTCACACTTTAATTTACAAATACTTTATTGTTAACAAGTGCTAACAGTCATCTGAGCCTTCAGAAAGCTGCAGTCTTTTTGTGTGTGCGTGACAGGGTTTTACTCTGTGGCTCAGGCTAGAGTAATTGCAGTCTCAACCTCATGCTCAATCAAACCCCCACCTCAGACTCCTGACTAGCTGGAACTACAGATACATGCCACCATGACCAGCTAATTTTTGTATTTTTTTTTTTTTTGTAGAGATGGGGTTTTGCCATGTTGCCTTGACTTCCTGGGCTCAAGCAATCTACCCACCTTGGCCTCCCAAGGTGTTGGGATGACAGGTGTGAGCCACTGCACCTGGCCAAGTTTCAGTCTTCTTGCTGATGGAGGGTCTTGCCTTAATGTAAGGTGGTGGTTGCTGAGCGTTGGGGTGGCTGTGGCAATTTCTTAAAATAAGACACCATTGAAGTTTGCTGTGTCAATTGACTCTCCCTTTCACAAAAGAATTATCTGTAGCATACGATGTTGTTTGATAGCTTTTTACCCACAGTAGAACTTTCAAATTGGATTCAATCCTGTCAAACCTTCGTACAGCTGTACCAACTAAGTTTATGTATTATTGTAAATCATTGTGTCAATCCTGTCAAGCCCTCCTTCTGCTGTACCAACTAAGTTTATTCTAAATCTGTTGTCATCTCAACAATGTTTACACTGTCTTCACCACGAGTAGATTTCATCTCAAGAAACCACTTTCTTTGCTCATCCGTGGAAGCAACTCATCCACTCACGTTTTCTCCGGAGGCTGCTGCAGTCTCACCAGATCTTCAGGCTCTGTCTCTGATTCTAGTGCTCTTGTTATTTCCACCATATCTGCAGTTACCTCCTCCACAGAAGTCGTGAACCCCTGTGTCATCTGTGAGGGTTGGAATAATCTTCCCAACTTCTCTCTCTCTCTCTTTTTTTTTTTTTTTTTTGAGATGAAGTCTTGCCTGGGCTGGAGTGCAGTGATGCGATCCCAGCTCACTGCAACCTCCACCTCCCAGGTTCAAGCAATTCTGCCTCAGCCTCCCAAGTGTTTGGGATTACAGTCACCCTCGACCAGGCCCAGCTAATTTTTTGTGTGTTTTTAGTACAGACAGGATTTCACTATGTTGGCCAGGCTGGTCTCAAATTCCTGACCTCGTGACCCACGTGCCTTGGCCTGCCAACATGCTGGGATTACAAGTGTGAGCCACCACGCCCGGCCCCAACTTCTCCTAATGTTGCTATTTTGATCTTATTTTTTAAATCATGAATGTTCTCAATGACATCTAGAATGGTGAATCCTTTCCAGTAGGTTTTCAATTATTTTGCCCAGATCCATCAAAGGAATCACTTTCTAGAGAAGTTATAGCTTTATGAAATATATTTTTAAGTGATAAGACTTGAAAGTTGAAATTATTCTTTGATCCAAGGGCACCAGAATGAATGTTGGGTTAGTAGGCATGAAAACAATATTCAGCTCTTTGTACATCTCTGTAAAAGCCCTTGAGTACCAGGGGCATTGTCAGTGAGCGGTAATACTTTGAAAGGAATCTTATTTCTTGAGCAGTAGGTGTCAACAGTGGGCTTCAGATATTCAGTAAACCATATTTGTAAGCCGATAGTCTGTCATCCAGGCTTTGTTCCCATTTGTAGAGTACAGACAGAGCTGTGTTTTATCATAATTCTTCAGGGCCCTTGGATTTTCAGAATAGTAAATCATCATTGGTTTCAAGTTAACATCACCAACTGCATTAGCCCTTAACAAAAGAGTCAGCATGTCCTTTGAAGCCTTAAAGCCAGGCATCAACTCCTCTCTAGCTGGGAACATCCTAGATGGCATCTCCTTCTAGTAGAAGGCTGTTTTGTCTCCATTGCAAATCTATTTAGTGTTGCCATCTTAATCAGTTATCTTCTAGATAGCTTTCTGCAGCTTTTCCATCAGTACTTGCTGCTTTATCTTGCGCTTTTATGTTATGGAGATGACTTTTTTCCTTAAACCTCAAGAAACAAGCTCTTCTAGCTTCAGACTTTCCTTCTGCAGCTGCCTCACCACTCTCAGTCTTCATAGAATTGAAGAGAGGCCGGGTGCGGTGGCTGTCACACCTGTAATCCTAGCACTTTGGGAGGCCGAGGAGGGCAGATCACCTGAGGTCGGGAGTTCGACACCAGTCTGACCAACGTGGAGAAACCCCGTCTCTACTAAAAATACAAAAAAATAGCCAGGTGTGGTGGTGCTTGCCTGTAATCCCACCTACTTGGGATGCTGAGGCAGGAGAATGGCTTGAACTTGGGAGGCAGAGGTTGCGATGAGCCAAGATCACGCCATTGCACTCCAGCTTGGGCAAGAAGAATGAAACTCTGTCTCAAAAAAAAAGAAAAAAAAGTAAAAAGAAAGTTAGGCTTAGGCTTAATGGAATGTTTTTTGTTTTTTTTTCATCTTCTATCTAGACCAATTAAACTTTCTTCATAACAGCAGCAAGATCGTTTAGCTTTTTATCATTCATGTGTTCACTGGAGCAGTACTTTAAATTTCTTTCCAGAACACTTCGTTTGCATTCACAACTTGGCTAAGTGTTTGTTGCATGAGGTCTAGCTACTGGCCTGTTTTGCTTACAGCATGCTTTCCTCACTAAGCTTAATTATTTCTTCCTTTTGGTTTAAAGTGACAGACATGCAACTCTTCTTTCATGAACATATAGAGGCTATTGTAGGGTTATTAATTGGCCACATTTTAATATTAATAAAAAGAAGCCTGAGAAAAAGAGAAAGAGAAATGGCCCGTTGGTTGGGCAGTCAGAACAAACGCATTTGTCAATTGTTTGCTGTCTTATCCTGGTGTGATTTGTGGTTCCCAAAACAATGACAACAGTAGCATTAAAGATTACTGATTACAGATCACCACAACAGAGTCAATAATAAAAATCTTAAAATACTGTGAGAATGACCGAAATGTGACACAGAAACGTGAAGTGAGCACGTGCTGTAGGAACAATGGTGCCAGTGAGACCTGCTTATTGCAGGGTGGCCACAAACCTTCAATACGTAAAACACATGGTCACAAAACACAATAAAGCAAAGTGCAGTGAAACAAGATGTGTCTGTCTTTTGATAGACTCTGACAATCTCTACCTTTGAATTGGTACATTCATACCATTAACATTCAAAGTGATTATTGATATCATTGGATTAATATCTACTATATTTGTTACTGTTTTCTATTCATTCTCCTCAGTCTTCATTCTTTTGTCTACGACTCTTTTTCTGCCTTTTGCAGTTTTCATTGATGATTTTAGATGACTCCATTTTCCCTGTCTTTCTTAGTACGTACTTCTCTTTTTAAAACTTTTTTTTAACTAGTTGTCACAGAATTTGCAATATACATTTACAACCAATTCAAGTCCACTTTCAAATAACACTATCCAACTATCCCACAAATAAGACTACCTGCTTAACAAACAAAACACCTAATTCCTCAGTAACATTTACAACCAATTCAAGTCCACTTTCACATAACACTATCCCACTATCCCACAAATAAGACTACCTGCTTAACAAAGAACACACCTAATTCCTCAATATACATTTACAACCAATTCAAGTCCACTTTCAGATAACACTATCCCACTTCACGGGTGACTACCTGCTTAACAAAGAAAACACCTGATTCCTCCCTCCCATCCTTCCATTCCATTCCTTGTATTATTGTTCCTTATTTCACTTGTGTATAAGCATGCATAATCTATCTGTGTGTATTTATTATTATCTACAAACTTATTGGTCAGATCAATTATGAATAAATACATGTTTTTATTGTACCACAATGCCTCCCTACCATCCTTCCATTCCATTCCTTGTATTAGTGTTACTCATTTCAATTGTATATAAGCATACATAATATATCTGTATTTGTTATTGTCTATGATCTTCTTGGTCAGATCAATTAAGAATAAATACATAGGTTTTTATTGTACCACAATTCTTTCTTTAATGCTCTTTTTAAAAAAATGTTGATCCAGGTTTCAGTTATATATCTTTTGTTTCCCTAAAGAATTTCATTTAACATTTCTTGCAAGACAGGTCTCCTGGCAACAAGTTTCTTGAATTTTTATTTTTCTGAGGAAGGCCTTAATTCTCCTTCACTTTTGAAGGGTGGTTTCAGTGGGTACAGAAACTTAGGTTGGTGGGTTTTTTCTGTCAACATTTTGAATTTTTCATTTCACTGTCTTCTTACTTTCACAGTTTCTGAAATGTTGAATGCAGTTCTTATCTTTGTGTCTCTGTAGGTAAGGTGTTTTCTGCCCCACCTCTGGTTTCTTTCAGAGTTTTCCTTTATCTTTTATTTCATATAGTTTGAAAATTATATGTCCAAGTGTAGGTTGTTGGTATTTATTCTGCCTGGTGTTCTCAGAGCTTCCTGGATCTTTGGTTTGGTGTCTGACATTAATACTGGAAGTTCTCAGACATGGTTGTTGCAGAACTTTCTTCTATTTCTTCTCCTCTTGGTATTCTCATTACTGTTTCACCTTTTGTAGTTGTCCCACAGTCTTGAATATCATCTTCTGTTCTTTTCAGTGTTTCTTTTCTTTAGTTTTTGAAGTTTCTGATGATAAATCCTCAAGCTCAGAGATTTTTACTCAGCTGAGTCCAGTCTACTAATAAGCCATCAGAGGTATTCTTCAGTTATTTACCACGTTTTTCATCACTACATTATGTTGAAAGTTCTTACGATGTCTGTCTTTCTCATTACATTACCCGTCTACACTTGAATACTGTCTACTTCATTCATTAGGCCCTTAGCATATTCTCCAGAGGTTTAAAAAAAAATTCCAAGATCATATCTTTGTCTGCTTCTGAAGCTTGCTCTGTTGATACAAATTGTATTTTTTTCTTTTTTTGGATTTTAGTATGCCTTGCAATTTTTTCCCTTTATTCTGATGCATGAAGTACCCACTAAAAGTGACTGCTGTTAGTATAGCTTCAGTAATGCGGTGATGAGGTGACAGGGCAGGTGATGCTCTCTTAGTCTCTTTAGGCTACTATAACAAAATACTTCAGACTGAGTAATTCATAAACAACAGAGATTATTGTTCACAGACCTGGAGGCTGGAAAGTACAAGACTAAAGGGCCAGGATATTTGGTGTTTGGTGAAGGTCAAACATTCAGACACTCTCAACGACTATAGCGACAGCAGCAGTCTTCAGGAATCCTATGTGAGGGACAAACACTCAGAAGCCAGCTGGAGTGTTCTAGAATCCTATGTGAGGGCCAAACATTCAGACCCCAGCAGTAGTGTTGTGGAATCCTATGTGAGGGACAAACTTTCAAACCCTTGTAGCAGTGTTCTGCAATGCTATGTGAGGGACAAACATTCAGACCACGGGAGCAGTGTTCTGGAATTCTATGTGAAGGACAAACATTAAGACTCTCATAGCAGTGTCCTGGAATCATATGTGAGGGACAACCATTCAGACACCAGCAGAAGTGTTCTGGAATCCTAGGTGTGGGAAAAACATTCAGAACCTAGTAGCAGTGTTCTGGAATCCTATGTGAGGGACATACATTCAGACCACGGCAGCAGTGTTCTGGAATGGTATGTGAAGGACAAACATTCAGACCCTTGTAGCAGTGTTCCAGAATTTTATGTGAGGGACAAACATTCAGACCACAGCAGCAGTGTTCTGGAATCCTATATGACGGACCAACATGCAGACCCTTGCAACAGTGTTCTGGAATACTAGGTGAGGGAAAAATATTCACACCCTCATAGCAGTGTTCTGGAATTCTATGTGACTGACAAACATTCAGACTCCAGCAGCAGTGTTCTGTAATCCTATGTGAGGGACAAACATTCAGACCCCAAGAGCAGTGTTCTGAAATCCTATGTTAAGGGAAACATTGAGACCCCAGCATGAATGTTCTGGAATCCTATGTGAGGGACAAACATTCAGACCACGGCAGGAGTGTTCTGGAATCCTATGTGAGGAACAAACATTCAGAGCACAGCAGGAGTGTTCTGGAATCCTATAGGAGGTATAAGCATTCAGACCCTCATAGCAGTGTTCTGGAATCCTATGTGAGGGAGAAGCATTCAGAGCACAGCAGGAGTGCTCTGGAATCCTATGTTAGGGACAAACATTCAGAACCTCGTAACATTGTGCTGGAAACCTATGTGAGGGACAGACATTTAGACCCTCGCAGCAGTGTTCTGGAATCCCATTTGAGGGTCAAACATTCAGATCCTCGCAGCAGTGTTCTGGAATTCTATGTGAGTGACAAACATTCAGACTCCAGCAGCAGTGTTCTGTATTCCTATGAGAAGGACAAACATTCAGAATCCAGGAGCAGTGTTTTGAAATCATATGTTAAGGGCAAACATACAGACCCTAGCATCAATATTCTAGAATCATATGTGAGGGACATACATTCAGACCCTCACAGCAGTGTTCTGGAATCCTAGATGGGGGACAAACATTCAGACCCCAGCAGCAGACTTCTGGAATCCTATGTGGAGGACAAACATTCAGACAATGGCAGCAGTGTTCTGGAATCCTATGTGAGGGACAAACACTCAGAGCCTTGTAGCAGTGTTCTGGAATCCTATGTGAGTGAGAGTGCCTGGAGCCTACCCAACCTGACGCCCCCAAAGCCTTCACAGGGTCTGACCTCCCAGCATGCACCTGCCTCTCCCTGAACCCCAACTGCCCACCCTGCCTTTTCCCTGGCCTCCTCCATCCTGTGCAGCCCATAGACTGTGACCATCTCTCCAGCCACTCTGGCCCTTCCTTTACCTTTGTCCTGTCAGAATCTCTGAGCAGGATCTCCCAGGTCCATCCAAATACGTGCTTTGTCCACTTTTGACTAGGCCCTTGGGCATCACTGGGCTATCCCAGCTGTCCACAGGGCCTTCAATAATGCACATTGCACCTGGCTTATCCAAGCAGTGCTCAGCAGCCCACATTGACCAGGTCCCTGCTGACCAGACCCCGCACATCAGGTCCTCCCTGATGACACCCTCACTGATTAGACCCTCATGACCAGGCCCCACTCACAAGGCCCCCACTGCCAGGCACACAATGACAAGGACTCCACCGACCAGGACCTTACTGACAAGGCCTCACTGACAAGGCTTCACGGACCAAGTCCTTACTGACAAGTCCTCACTGACTAGGTCATTATTGACAAGGCCTCACTGATCAGGTTCCACTGATCATGAACTCATTCCCTGGCCCAAAGATGAGGCCCCACTGACCAGGCCTCCAGGGAACAGGTTGCCACTGATCAGGCCCCTAATAATGAGGCCTTATGTCACCAGATGCCCCTGACTGGGACCCTAGTGAGTAGACCCCACTGAACTGGCACCAAATGCTGAGATTCCCGCTGACCAGGTCACCCTGTAGCCCGGTGCTACAAAAGTCACCACGGACCAAGTCCTCTCTGACCAGGACACTACAGATTAGGTCCCGCCGACAAGGCTGCCCTGACCAGGGCCCCACTGACAAGGGCCTCACTGATGAGGACACGCCCACCAGGGTCTGCTGACTAGGTCCCATGTGCCCAGTCCTGCACTGAGTAGCACCCCTTGACCTGGTCACCAGTGCCCCAGCCCATGCTGACCAGACCAGCACTAAGCCCCAGCTGACCAGGTCTCCACTGATCAAGCCCCACAGCCCAGGTTTGCACTGACCAGACACCAAACAACTGGCAGCCAATAGGTCCCCACTCACCAAAACCCCCACTACTAGACCCCACTAATGAGACCCTCTCTAAGCAGACCCCTGCTGACCACTATCCCACTAAATAGTCCTCACTGACCTAGGTCCACTGACCAGGCCCACACTGATCAGGCCCCTCCTAACCACACTGGAAATCCAAGCGGCAATGACATGTTTCATATGGCAGAAGTTGGAACAAGACAGAGAGAGGAAAGAGGTTCCACAGCCTTTTAAACTACTAGATCTCATGAGAACTCACTCACTATCAGGAGGATGGCATTAAGGGCTTGGTGCTTTGCCATTTGTGAAGGATCCACTCCCACTCCTTTATGATTAAAGCTTTTTCCACCTAGGCCCCGACTCTAACATTAGAGAGTGTACTTTCACATGAGTTTTGGAAGGGGCATAGAGAAAAACCGTATTATTCTGTCCCTGACCCCACAAATCTCATGTCCTTCTCACATTGCAAGATACAGTCATGCCTTGCCAGCAGTCTCCCAAAGTCTTAACTCATTTCAGCATTAACTCAAAGTTACAAAGTGCAAAGTCTCATCTGGGTCAAGGCTACATTCTCTTTTGCCTACAAGTCTCTGAAATAAAAAGCAAGTTCACTGCGTCTAAGGTACAATGATGGTACAGGCATTGTGTAAGCTTTCCATATCCAAAAGAGAGACATTTTCCAGAAAGCTTCTTATTTTTATCTGAGGCCCCCTCAGCCTGGCCTTCACTGTCCATGTTTTTGTCAGCATTCTTGTCACAGCCATTTAACCAGTCTCTAAGATGATCCAAAAATGTTCTCATCTGCCTGTCTTCTTTGGAGCCCTCCAAACTCTTCCAACCTCTACCCATTACCCAGTTCCGAAGTTGCTTCCACATTTTCAGGTATCTTTATAGCAATGCTCCAGTCCTCATTTGCCATTTTTGGTAAGATTTATCTTGAAAAAGAGGTTTAATTGGCTCATGGTTCTGCAGAGTGGACAGGAAGCTTAGTGCTTCTGCTTCTGGGGGGCCTCAGAAATCTTTCAATCATTGTGCAAGGTAATGAAAGAGTGAATTGTCTCACATGGCAAGAGGAAATCACGGAGAGTAGGGAGTGATATAGAGTTTTCAGTGGCCAGATCTCACGAGAAGTTACTCATGATTGTGAGGACAGTACCAAGGGGATGGTGCTGAACCACTCATGAGAAATTTGCCTTCATGATTCAATCACCTTATACCAGGATCCACCTCCAACATTAGGAAGCATAATTCAACAAGAGATTTGGTGGGGACACATATTCGAATTGCCTCATCAGTCTTTGAGTATAAAGACATCCATAGCAGGCTTTATCCAGCCAGCTTCTTTGGGATTCTTTATAGGGTTTCAGATCTATAGGATATCCACTAAAATATTCCTACTTCAAAAGACAATAAAGTAAGTGGTATTATCATTCTTCAAAAAGTTATAATGGTAGTGTAGGCATTCATAGTATGATTTAGTTCATTTGCTACTGTTTCTATTCTATCACCATATTAACACTTTCGTACACAATTCTATATTCATCTGGGTTTCAGTTGAGCACAAAGTCATCCTTGTACTACCACCGATAGCTGGCACCAGCTCTTTGATACTGTTATCATTCTGCTGTAGAAAGTACCCGTGAACTGGAAAAAGTCCACACTCGAATAGCTAGTCATTCAACACTATCAAATTTTAGGTGACTTTTTGAAAAAATAGTATCTCTTTTTGCAAGAAATGCTCCATCTGTGATTTCAAGTCTCTCACTTGAGTGAATTGGATGGAAGTGGTGAATTTCAGCCAAAGTGGCCAAAGAAATCCTGTTCCTGTGATAATGACTCCATCAGCCTCTGCACCTCTGTCTTCCCTTCTGCCACATGTTGTCTGTTCTCCGTGACTTTGGTAAGAGCTTCCTTGTGTATGTAAATGATGTCCAGGATGTTTGTCTTGTGTCCCTGAGACAGCACTGACAGGTCCATGGCTGGGTCCAGGTCCTTCCTGGACTGACTGGCAAAGAGCTCACTGACAGAGTGGAAGGCATCTATACTGAAGTGGATGGCCTGTTCCAGCTCCAAGGCCTGGCTGAGGCTGAAGAAGAACTGTCAGGCTTCTGATGCTCTTTCTCAAAGCCTGCCACCACTCATTGGCTGTGAAGTTGACCTGAGTGCCCTGTTGTCCATCTTCTTGGTGAAGCACTTGAAGCCATCAATCTTGCTCTCCCACTCCTAAAAGTTGAGTGTCACACTGGGGGTGGGCTCAGGGCCAGGAAGAATCTGGCACTCACCATCTCATCCTTCTCAGCCTTCCTCTTGCCCTGTCTCCAGGCTATCTCTTCAGTGCTGGTGGGGCACATCAGGAAGTGACAAAAAATGTGGCACTGCACCTGCATCCAGAAGCTGGCTGTGTGGTTCATCTACAAGATTGGGCCCTTTCTGCACTTGAACATAGATCCACTTCACCATAGATGCCTTCCACACTGTCAGTGAGCTCTTTGCCCATCAGCCCAGGCAGGATCTGGACCCAGTCATGGACCTGTTAGTGCTATCTCAGGGACACCAGGCCAACATTCTGGACATCATCCACGTACACAAGGAAGCTCTTACCAGAGTCCTCCTCAAGATGGCCTGTGGTCTGCCTCTTGGCACCCGAGAAGCCCACAGTGCTGTAGAAGCCCCGATGCTTGGACTGGAGCCCCAAAGGCGGCACACACCCCACTTCTGAGCCTGCTGCTCATTTCCTCTATGTGGCTCCATTTGCAGCACATTTGTTGCACTGAGACCTGTGCATGCCAGGCAAAGCCAAGCTGGCTCAAAGAGCAACCACCCACCTCTGCAAGGGTGTGCCAGGAGCCAGTGGACCAGCCACCAACGTCACTCCCTGCCAGTCAGGGTAAATCAGTTATTCTGCCCTGGAGGTGGAGCCCCAGTGCCATCTGCTTTTCCTCAGGCCTCCACTCCATCAGCTGTCAGGTGGTGGTCACTCAGACTGTGGGAAACTGGCCATCCCTGTTTCCTTGAGTGCGTGAGGTTGGTGACTGCTCCACCTGCTACTGGCATACCCTTGCAGAGGTGGCTGGTTGCTCTTTGAGCCAGCTTGGCCTTGCCTGGTATGCACAGGCCCCAGGTACTGAGAAGCTGCTCCGAGTAAGTTTGTCTTGGGCCAAATTCTAAGTCTGGCCAGGACCACAGAAGGCCGAGTCCCCTGGGTGGTAATCCTGGCTGCTGCAGGGGGGCCCATGCTCCCCCTCCCCTCCCAGGGCTCAGGATGAGGTCCGACTGGGAAAAGATGCTTTAGGTATGGGACTTGTGCCCCAGGAGGGGACCTCTGTCACACACGTTGGGTGAAAATATGTATGGCATGCTGCTGGCTGCCAGGGCTGTTGGGATGCACGTTCACCCTTCCCTTCAGGGACCTCAAAGTGACCAGCTTCCCCTTTATGAGTGACTTCCCAAGGCCCAGGAGCCATTTGGGGCTGCAGAGCAGCTGGCTGCATGCTGCTCTGGCTTCTTCCATGTTGTGCTGGTCACTACCTACCAAGGGGTGTCAGATGCAGGCACAATGTAGGACGATTGTCTCTGGGCCTGTGTCTTGGTTATCATGGAGCTAGACTGGGCCTGGTGACAGGGCCCTGATGGGGTTGTCCTGTGTGGTCACGGAGGTGATCAGAAAAGATGCAGAATGGAATTGCTGCGAGGATGAATGAGATGACTGTCAGCACATAACAGGCAGCTGGTGAGTGTTCAGGGATTACCCTCAGTAGCTGCCCAGAGACCAAAACCATCCACCTGATAGTGACTTTTCCCAAGCCAGAAGGAAGAGAAAAGAGCAGGTCCCACTCACCTGAATCTGATCAGTGAGCTGTGTTGAGATGTGCCTCTCATCTAGAAAATGGTCCTTCACGCAGAGCTACTCACAGACACTGCTGTGTGTCTCTAACTGCTCCACAACACAGAGGCGATGGGGACTCAGCAACAGTGACATTGTGGGGTGACACAACCCACCACCATGGGAGTCTGCTTGGGTCAACAGGGCCCAGAGTCAGTGTCCTCTATCCCCTGAACTGACATGTGTGTATGCAATGTATTTGTGTATGCATATGTGCCTGTGTGTGTGTGAGTGTGTATGTGTGTGTTTGTCTTGCTTCTCTGGACAGGCCTAGCTTCTCCACTCATGGGTGCACCCAGGTCCTCATCACTGTCACCTTAGAGCATTAGAGCCTCTATAGGTGCTCCCCAATCTCTGCCCTCCCCACCCATGGTGGTCCTGGGGATGCAGACAGAGGAGGGGCACTGCATAATGCTGAGAGGGCTGGCACCCTCTCTAGGTGGAACACAGGTCATTTGTAAAGTTGTAGGTCTGCCAAGCAGTATTGGATTCAACACATCTTCTCACCTTCTCTTTCCAGCCACCCTCCAGGGTGCCCCGACTCACTTTCCCTGCAGATGGAGGCAAGGAGACTCCACAGACAACCCCCCTGCCTGAGGTCACATAGTGGCCAGCAGGCCAGGTACTGACAAACTGCCCCTGACCAGGTTCCCAGTGATGAGTGATGAGACCCCTAATGACCACTCCTCCATTGACCAGGTCCCACTGATCAAGTCCCCACTGACCATGTCTTCCTAACCAGGCCCACACTTAATAGGCCTCATGGGCCAGACCCCACTGACCAATTTTCCACTGACCTGGTCCCCATTGACAAGACAGGGTTCCCACTGACAAGACCACAATTTACCAGGTTGCTGCTCAACCGACCCCCCACTGAACAATTCTCCATGAACGAGTACCCAGCTGACTGAGCCCCCTCTGACCAGGCCCTCACTGACCAGGCTCCAAGCCACTAAGGCCCCACACTGACCAGGCCCATGATATATTGTGTATGCCCCACCAACCAGTTTTTCATTGTTTATGTTCCAACAGATCAGGCCCCACTAATAAAGCCACCATTGACTAGGTCCCCCCACTGACCAGGCTTCCAATGACTAGGTCACCAGGTCCCCACTGATGAGGCCTTTACTGAGGAGGCCGCCACTAACCAGGCCCCTGCTGATCAGGTCCCAAATGACCAGGTCCTGATGACCAGGTCATCTCTGACCATGGTCCACTGACCAGGCCCCGGAGCAACGGGGTTCAAAGTCTCATTACAATGTCCCCCTCAGCTCATAGACCCTCCCTCCCTGCATGTGTGCCCAGAGGTCAGGCCCTGGGGTTTTTTTTTGGGACGTGGCCTTTCCTCCAAGACACAGGGAGAGACAGTTGGCCTCAGGCTCCAGGTTCCCAGCTCCACACTCACCCCAAAGGCCCTCTGGGCCCGTCTCAAAGGAGAAAGTGAGGTGGCCTGATACTGCCTGGACACACCATCTACCCTATTCCTGAGTGTCAGGGTGTGAGGAAGGGAGGGACATTTGGCAGATAAGGCACGCTGTGCTGTTGGGTCTCTCAGGGCCCTTCCCACAGAGCCCCGATCTAAAGACAGAACACAGAGGCTACAGGAAGACTAATCCAGAACCTCTGAGACAGCCAGGGACCACATGAGGACTCTCCCCAGACAGCCAGAAGGCCCTTTGCTAGTTTCTTGGTACTTCAGTGGATGTGGCAGTGGTTCTTCTGTTGGGGACCAGTGAGTACACACTGGGGAAGGCTCACCTGTGCTTCCTCAGTGGCTCCACCTCTGCTTCTAAAAAAAATGACTCATTCCAGAGCTGGCGCAGAGAAAATACAAGCTGAGCTTAGAACATCTTCTGCCAGAAAGTAAAAAAGTGCCGACAGAGTAATGGAGACAAATCAAAGAGACATAAAGTCAGCTTGGAATGTCTACTACTGGCCTAATCTTGGGGAATTGGAGCATCAGAATCATGAGCTTTCCTTCTCCCTTATTTATTGGTTTTATTTCTCCATGTAGAACAAAGAAGAGAATAAGAAAATAATCATCTGGTAACCATCATAGTAATAATTGTTCAAACACAAGTCATCCATGAAATGCTAAATCTAGTGGGTTCTGAGGAGTAACCAGATATTTACAGAGCCTCAAAGTATCTCCATACAAAATACAGTTGAACTACAAAAAGAAAATTGTAACATTAGCATGGACAAACCTGGCAGGTACTCCTTAACTCTCCTAAGTAATAAAAACTGTAAAATGCAAATAAGCCTTCGATGACCTTTACTAACCTTTACTAAAGTATCAGTGATGACTTGGTTGTTTAAACAGCTGACATTTGGGCAATTTGAGTATGTCAAACTCAATAATACTGGTTTTCATTTGCAAGATCCACTTAAAACTTAAGGAGGCCAAAAAACATCATTTAAAATACCCTATAAATTATAATCATACATATGATACAAAAATATCCTACTTCAGTAAATATTGGAATGTTATATATTTTATGAGAAACAATTAAAATGTGTAAATAGCCCAGTAATAAAGTTTTATAATCTTTTAAATCATCATAGAATTTTTCCTTAAGACTTTATGGTTAAATATTCTCTTCATTAGATGTGGCTTACCCGTGGATTCTAGAGAAGAAAGTAGATGGGAGCAAGTGTCCAATACAGCAACAGCTGGAAAGAAAAATAAAGAATTTTGTTCTTTACCTAAAACACTTCAGTTAACTAAGTGTGAGTTTAAAAACTAAAGACTTGAGAACTTTATCAGAGTTAATAAGAATGAGAAATATGTATGTACATTTACAATACAAAATTACTATTTAATAATTTACACATGGCATTAATTCTAATTGTGTTTAAATATCAGAACTTTTTCAGTCTTCATTCATGTAATCAACAGCCACATGCTAAGGTACTAGAACCAGCATTGGAATTACAAGATGAAGATGGCATGGTCCACCTCTCAACAGTCATAAGCTATAACCTAAAAAACAGACAGGCAGGCAATGTCCATATAGAGTCATAGATACCGTGACAGGTATACAGCAGGGCACTACTGGAACACAGAGAAGGGACATCTACCCACTTTTATGTCAATATCATGGGCTTTCTGGTGGAGGAGATAACATAGGTTGATACCTGAAGGACAAGGAAAAGCTTCCCAGATAGAGGAAAGAGGCAAAGACAAAGAGCCTGAGGTGAGGAAGAGCCCTGCAGAGTTCCACTCCATCCAGTTTGGTGCTAGAGCAAAGGGCAGAGTGCAGTAAGTGGTGAGAAACAAGGCTGAGTAACTTGGCAAGAATTACATTGACATGGGTGTTTTTATTTCATGGTGAAAAATTTGGAACTTTTCCTGAGAACAAGTGTAAGCCAATGACACAGTAAATTAGAGGAGATTTAAAATGTCACCTGTCAAGTGACTGTTTATGAAGGGTTATTGCTCAGCTAAGTATTTCTGAATGAGTCTTAGGTCTGTTGGCCTTCAATCTCTACCGAAACCCTGAGAACTTGATGATGCTTTTGTTTTCTGAGAATCGTTTCAGTGTGCTGGCTGACAGTTCCATGAGGATGGCAAAACTTAAGAAACTGTAGAGCCAGTGAAAAAGAGATGCACAGACTTCTTGGGAACTGTTTAAGCTTAGGAACATGATGAATTTATGGTGCATAAGTACAGTCTTCTCTGTGAAAGTTTTTGTTTTCACATCTTTCATTAGATGTGTGTAAGAAAAAAATATTGATGTAGTATCTACTAACCCAAGAATGAAAAGGAATGCCATTTGCTATTTACACTTTATTTCTAAAATAAACCTAAATTTAATTAATAAATTTTGTCAACGTACTTCTCTTTGTTTCTCTAATTATTTATTCTACACAGTCCAGCCCCATCTAAAATAAGTAAAAATAATAATAATGTCTAAATTAAACAAGAAACATTATCATGAAAATCATGTATCACTTACAAAATGTGGCCTTTAGTATTTTTAGTGACTAGACATAACTTGAAGTTTGCTTAAATAGAAAAATAATCACATAAATAAAATAAAATTTCTACTTATTTTAAGTTTAGATAACAGAGGATGTATATGTGTAATGCTGTTTAGAGTAATCTGACAAAAATGCAGTTAATATTGATCTATTGCATATACATGATTTTAGAAAGGTAGTGTTTTATTAGTACAAAGGTTAAACAATGGCCAGGCATGGTGGCTCATACCTGTAACCCCAGCACTTGGGGAGGCCAAAGCAAGCAGATCACAAGGTCAGGAGATCGTGACCATCCTGGCCAACATGGGGAAACCCCATCTCTACTAAAAATACAAAAATTAGCTGGGCGTGGTGATGTGCACCTGTAGTCCCAGCTACTTGGGATACTAAGGCAGGAGAATTGCTTGAAGCCAGGAGGTGGAGGTTGCAGTGAGCCAAGACTGCACCACTGCACTCCAGCCTGGTGAGAGAGTGAGACCCTGTCTCACAAAAAAAAAAAAAAAAAAAAGATTAAGTAATTAAAGCCATCTTTTGCAATGAATGCATTGCTTTGAAATTCTTAGAAAACTCTGCCCTTTATAAAAGTTTAATCCATTTTTTACTTCAATAAATTTTATCTTAAAAAGAAATTTCTGTTCTCTACTTATAGTAAACTTTTCTCTTTTTTTTCTAGTTTGTATTCTAAATTAACGTGGTACCCCTGTAAGTTTCTTCCAAAGGCATATTGAGGGATACCGAGGTTTGCAGTACAATTAAACCCATCACACAGGTTGTGAGCATAGGACCCAAGAAGTAGTTTTTCAACCCTGGCCCACTCTGTCCCTCCCCATTCTTATTTCCCAGTGTCTATTATTCCCACCTTTATGACAATGTGCACCCAATATGTAGCTCCCACATGAGTGAAAACATGAGATATTTGGTTTCTGTTTCTGCGTTGGTTTGCTTAGGAGAGTGGATTCCAGCTGTATTCATGTTGCTGCAAATGATGTGATTTTGTTCTTTTCATGGCTGCATAGTATTCCATGGTATATATGGAATTTTCCAATCTACCTTGGATTTTCAATCTACCTTGGATGTACCTGGATTGACTCCACGTCTTTGCTATTGTGAATAGTGCTGCAATGAACATACATGTGTATACATCTTTTTGTTACAATGATTTATTGTCCTTTCGGTATACCCCTAGTATAGTAATGGGGTTGCTGCATCCAACAGTCATTCTTAGTACTTAATTTCCAAACTGCTCTCCATAGTAGCTGAATTAATTTACATTGCCACAAACCGTTTGTGTTCCCTTTTCTCCACAGCCTCCCCAACATCCTTTTTTAAGTTTTTATTTATTATTTGTTTTTAACAAAAGTCATTGTGACTGGTGTGAAATGGTATCTCATTGATGTTTTGTGTGGCATTTTTCTGATGATTAGCAATGGTAAGCATTTTTTAATGTTTGTTGGCCACTTACGTGTGTTATTTTGAGAACTGTCTGTTCATGTCCTTTGCCCATTTATAATGGTCTTATTTATTTTTTGCTTGTTGATTTGTTTAGGTCTCTTATGGATTCTGGATAATAGGCGTTTGCTATATCCATACTTTGTGAATATTTTCTTCCATTCTTTTAGGCTTTCTGTTTAATCTCGTGATAGTTTCTCATGCTGTGCAGAAGCTATTTAGCTAAATTAGATCACACTTGTCAATTTTTGTTATTCTTGCAATTGCTTTTGAGGACTTAGCCATAAATTAATTGACAAATATGATATCCAGAAGAGTATTTCCTAGGTTTTTTCCAGGATTTTTATAGTCAGAAGATGTACTCTTATGTAAAGAAAGCACAAACCTTTTTTTTGTTTTGTTTTGAGACAGAGTCTCCATCACCAAGGCTATAGTGCAGTGGTATGATCTTGGCTTACTGCAACCTCTGTCTCCTGGGTTCAAGTGATTCTTCTGCCTCAGCCTCCTGAGTATCTGAGATTACACATGCCTGCCAACACGCCTTGCTAATTTTTGTATTTTTACTAGAGACAGGTTTCATCATGTTGGCCAGGCTGGTCTCAAACTCCTGACGTTAGGTGATTCACCTGCCTCGGCCTCCCCAAATTTTGGGATTACAAGTGTGAGCCACCATGCCTGGCCAAGCACAAAGCTTTTAAAATAAAAAGGGAAATGAACATTTTAGTGTTTTGTTTAATTCATAAAATGCAATTATTTTGGATTCTACTAAATAATAAACATCCATATGTGGCAAAGTGGATGCTAATCATTCAGTTGTGATTATGGGTGGGAAGAATTGAGATGGTGCAAATAAACTTTTTTAATTTTTTTTTTATTTTCAAGATGGAGTCTTGCCCTGTCACCCAGGCTGGAGTGCAGTGGTGCAATCTCAGCTCCTGCAACCTCCGTCTCCCAGGTTCAAGCAATTCTCTGCCTCAGCCTTCCTAGTAGCTGGGATTACAGGTGTCCACCACCACACCAGGCTAATATTTTTTTTGTACTTTTAGTAGAGTTGGGGTTTCACCATCTTGGCCAGGCTGGTCTTGAACTCCTGACCTCGTGATACACCTGCCTCAGCCTCCCAAAGTGCTGGGATTACCGGCATGAGCCACCACACCTGGCTGGTGCAAAGAAACTTTAAAAGTGGCATGGGCCGGGTGCGGTGGCTCATGCCTGTAATCCCAGCACTTTGAGAGGCTCAGGCAGGCAGATCACAAGGTCAGGAGTTCAAGAAGAGCCTGGTCAATATGGTGAAACCCTGTCTCTACTAAAAATGCAAACATTAGCTGGGTGTAATGGTGGGTGCTTGTAGTCTCAGCTACTCAGGAGGCTGAGGCAGGAGAATCACTTGAACCCGGGAGGTGGAGGTTGCAGTGAGTGGAGATGGCACCAAGACACTCCAGCCTGGGTGACAGAGTGAGACACTGCCTCAAAAAAAAGAAAAAAAAATGTGGTATGAACCACAGCTAAACTATAATCAATTAGAGAGTAAGCCAGACCATCTCAAAGTATATCATCACTTATCAGGCAATAACATGCAATTTCTAAAACCTAACTTAAATGCAGCTTTTAAAGACATTTCAAACATGTCAGTTTAGTCACATTTATTGAATAAAGTTAGCAAATGGATATCTCTTGAAAATGAGAGCTCCAGGGAATTAAAAAATGTAAAGTTCCCATTTCCTTTCTGTGTTAACACAGCTAATTATGATCTTTACTTCACATGCAAAAGTCAACAGAACAACTCAGTATTTCACCAAATTATAAACAAGAATTACGCTAGAGAAATGAAACCCTAAAGAGAAACGGTCATATAACTAACCTCAGTCAAGTAGTTCTGGCAGTTATTTGAAGTCTGAGGTTTGAAGTAGGAATTCTTACGGGCATTTGGGGAATATATTTTCTGTTGAGTCCTATACTAGTAAGATTTTCAACACAAGGTGACTCTCGACCTCGCCTTGTAGGAAGAGTGCTGAGAAAATATTTCACCTGCTCTTTCTCCATAAAGAGCTGATACTGATCATTGCTATTTTCTTATTCAATCTGTAAAGGTAGCAAAGACAAATGCTTAATATTTCATTTTTCCTTAAATGATTCTTAATGACTTGCAGTTTTTAAAAACTTACCCTGAGAGTAAACCAAATTACCCACTAAATAGTGTTTTCACACAGAAGATGTGTAAGAGCATACCTGTTGTAAGGAATTATAATTTTAAAATCATTCTAAAGAAGCACCATTGTTTCTAAGGTGATTTCTACTGAACTAGCAGTTCAAACAAAGTAGACAGGGAAGAGAAATGGCTATCAGTAATGTATGGCTCAACAGGTAAAACTTCCTGCCTTCTAAAATGGCTGTACTTGGAAGATTCTGAAGATTCCATTAGAAATACTTGTATTTAAAGGGTAATAATGTGGGAAAATGAATATGTTGATTTGCTTGATTATAAGAACCACTTCACTAGAAATAATTATATCAAAACATCATGTTGTACTCCTTAATGTAGGTTAAGAAAACTAAAATGAACGAAAAAAAATCTAGGAACACTTGTGTTTAGTAAACCAGTTTTAGATTTCACTCTTGTACATTTCACCCATTATCTAGGACCAATTAAACATTTGGCACTGAGGAATAATTCAGAGCAACAACTCCTAGGGGAGAACTAGATTGTCTGGTTGGTGATCAAAAAGAATTAAAGCATCTCTGAAGACAATTAGTCCCCAACACTGTGACCAAGGCCCTGGAGGTGGGGCATGTTTTTTCTGCCTTCCACACACCGCTTCAGGCTGAACAAGGTGTTATTTTTTAACCGCTTTGTGAATTACACTTCTTTAAATTCCTGTGATAATTATTCCCTATTTCACAAGGGTGCCTTTCTGTAACATCTTGAATATGTTACACAAATAGTCTTTCTTGCGGCACCCTCTGGTGATAATACTAAAGATCACAATCAAAAACAATTGTGCCCAGAGTAGAAGTACCACTTTGCATTTAGGTTGTGATCCACTGAAAAGTAAATTAAACACATTAATATTTCTATTTAGGGAAATTCTGACAAGTAATTTTATAACAAGGTCACTTCATTGATTATAAAGCTTCAAAAATACTTAGTGAAAAAAACTAACAGATCAGGTTAATTACATGAGACTTTTCAGGAAAAAAAGCCATACAAAAGCAAAAAAAAAAAAATGAGAGGAGAGACAAAAACTATCTTTGACTAACATTTTAAAGGTAAAATTATTTACTAACATTATTTTTCAAAATTACATTGTCAAATTAGCATTCACTTCCTTCTAATCTGAAGCCATCTCAATAAAAATTATGCTTTTGAAACAAATTAATGAGCTTAATTCATTTTCTATGAGTGTATGTTTTGACTTACTTAGTTAATTTTTTTGACATGGAACTGTTAGCTTTCAATGCTGCTGCAAAGGCTTCCTTATATTCTTCTAACTCAGTTGTAACCTCTTCATAAGCAGTTTTCATTTTGTAGAATTTACATTCCACATCTTTAAGTGTGAGTTCCTTCTTATTTAGTGAAGCTGTATTATATCCTTGTTTAACTGCTCTAATTGTTTTTTATATTGTGCTTGTTCCTAAAACAGAGGAAAAGAATACACTTTTAAAACAATTATAACCTAATTATTATGTTTGTTGCCTTTCATTTTGAGTCAGCGATTCAAAGAGTATTTTTGAATATGTTAAAAAAGAGGATGAAGTTTAAAATATTTCAGCAATATCAAAACTAATAACTGAATTCAGAATTAAGTCTGATTTGTAAAAATTTGAAATCATAATTATGCTAGTATTAATGTAATCTGGTCATATAAAAAGTAATAGAATCCATTCATAGTTTTAAAAAGTGATCAATGAACACTGTAGCTTAAGACCAATTCATAATTATCACATAATTTCTAAATCACAATTTTTTCCTATGCCAACTGGTCTTAATCATCAAATTACTCCATAATGAGAATCATTACTCTGAAAGATTGATTTTGTTATAATAATAATGGAAATTTAAATATTTAAAAGAAAAAACAGATACCATTTTTTTCTAGAACTCTACAAAGCAGATTGCTACAAGAGAGGTAATCTCTCTCTCTCTCTCTCTCTCTCTCTCTCTATATATATATATATATATATATATCTCCAAAATATAATTTGCAGTGAAATAAATGAAAGCACATTACAAGTAAACTTACCTGATTTAAACAACTCACCTGTAAATGGATTTCTTCTAATTTTTCTACTGCCTGCATTGCCCTTTCATCTAGCTCTGATTTATATTCTTGTAGTTTACTAAGTTCTACCATACTGTTTTCCATATGTGTCTTAAGATTTAATATTTCTTCTTCCAACATCTTTTTATCCTCCTCAAGTTTTTCACATTCCTGTTGTACTTTTTTCATAGATAATAACTCCTGTTGAAAAACTTGATTCTCTTTAGCCAAATTGACACATTTTGAAGATACAGCTTCCTTCTCCACCATAAGATCATCAAACTGCATGAATAAAATAGTATAGCTTGATAATGAAGTAGGCTGAGAATAATCTAATACAAAACCAATAGCAAATTTTGAAATGCATTTACTTGCAATAAAATGTTATCTGTAATGCAGCAGATTCTTCAAATGTGAACCCTTAAATTACTCAGAATTTTAAGAACAAAGTTAAAGCTACCATGAGTCATAAAAATATATTCTTTACTATCATCATCTTTGCCACAGAATTTTTGTACTTCATTTTACTTTTATTTTTCTGATAATTCATTTTTGTTCCTCCTTAAATGGCACAAAGTTATCTCCTAGTAAAAAGTGTCTAACCCCCTTCCTTCATTATCATTCCCCACAGTATGTCAAAAAAAGTTTCAGAGATATCATATTGAGTTATTTAGGCCAAAGTCAATAAATGGGTCTAGGAATAAGACTTTGAAAGTGATATTACACTCTATATTAGGCATGGTGGCTCATGCCTGTAATCCTAGCACTTTAAAAAGCTGTGGCAGAAAGATCACTTGAGACCAGGAATTTGAGATCAGCCAGAGCAACATAGTGAGACCCCCATCTCTACAAAAAAAAAATTTTTTTAATTACCCGGGCATGGTGGCTCATGCCTGTAGACCCAGCTAGTTGGGATACTGAGGCAAAAGGATGGCTTGTACCCAGAGTTCAGGGCTGCAGTGAATTATTATCGCTGCACTTCTGCCTGGATGACAGACAAAGACCCTATCTCAAAAAACAACACAAAATAATGAAATCTATGATTAAGGATTCTGATGCTATAAGCCTTTCCTTAAACTGCAAATGTTTCATGCTAATTTGAATTGCATTTTAAGAAGTAATGATTCTTGGGGTAAAGACCATAGAATATGGCACCCTGAAATAAATTCACATATTTCCAGCCAACTGATTTTGGACGAACATGCCAAGAACGTACGCTGGGGAAAGGACAGCCTCTTCAAATGAATGACACTGGGAAAACTAAATATCCATATGGAGAAGAATGATATTAGCTTCCTATGTAACACCATATAACAACATAAACTCAGAATCGATTGAAGACTGAAATGTAAGGCCCAAAATTATCAAACTACTCTAAGTAAATATAAGGAAAAGGCTTGAGGACATTAGTCTGCACAAAGATTTTTATGGGTAAGACATCAGAAGCATAGGCAAACAACAAATCATAGACAAAAGACACTACATTAAGCTAAAGAGCTTCTGTCCAGCAAACAACTGAGTGAAGAGAAAACCTGTAGAATAGGAGAAAATATTGTCAAGCTATTCACCTAATGAGGGACTAATATACAAAATATACAAAAAAACTCAAACAACATCACAGTAAAAAAATCTGAGTTTAAAATTGGGCAAAATATCTAACTATACTTTTTTTTAGAAAAAGAAATACAAATAGCCAATAAATAAATTTTAAAATGCTCAGTATCACTAATCCTCAGGGAAATACAAATCAAATCTACAATGTGATATAATCTTGCTTCAATTTGAATAAATTGCTGTCATTGAAAAGACAAAAAAAATAACAAATGCTGGTGAGGCTCCAGAGAACAGTAAACTCTTACATGCTGTTGGTGGGAAGGTAAATTAGTGCAGCCACTATAGAGAACAACAGGAGGTTTTCTCAAAAAAACTAATAATGGGACTGCCGAGGGATCCAGCAACCCCACTACCGGGTATTCAGGCAATAGAAAAGAAAACAATAGATCAAAAGGATATCTGTCCTCATATGTTTACTGTAGCACTATCCACAACAGCTTGTGTATGGAATCAACATACATGTCCATCACCAAATGAATGGATGAAAAACTGTGGCACACAAACACAGTGGAATACTATTCACCATATAAAGGAATTAAATCCTGTTATTCGTGGCCACGTGGATCAGTCTGATGGATGTTAAGTGCAGACACAGAAAGATAAATACTGCACATTCTTACTCATGTGTGGGAGCTAAAGGAAAATTGAAGGCTGGGCAATATGGCTGATGCCTGTAATTTCCTAGCTCTTTGTAAGACCAAGGCAAGAGAATCATTTGAGGCCAAAAGTTCCAGAGCTCCCTGGGAAACATAGGGAGATATCTCTACAAAGTCAAAAATCAGACATGTGCAATGGTGCATGCCCATAATGCCAGCTGCTCAGGAGGCTGAGGTGTGAGGATCAGATGGGCCCAAGAGTTTGAGGCTGCAGTGAACTATGATCAAACCACTGTCTCCAGTCTGGGTGACTACAGTTGCCCAGAGCCCAGACTACACTAGCAAGACCCTGTCTCTTAACAAAAAAAAAGCTCACAGAAGTAGTGGAGGGGAGGCTGGTTAATGGATACAGAATTACAGTTAGATAAGAGGAGTGAGTTCTGGTGTTCTGTGGCATTGTAGGGTGAATATGGTTAACTATGACTTATTGTATATTTTTAAAAAGCCAGAAAATTTTGAATGTTCACAATTCAAAGAAATGAAAAATGGTTGAAGTAGTAAATGTGCTAGTTAGCTTGATCATTACACACTATATACGTGTATAAAAATATCACTCTATAGCCCATAATTATGTATATATGTGTCAATTAAAACAAAAGAGAAGCTACATTCATCCCATTTAAAAAACAGAATATGGGCCAGCCTTACTGACTTCCTTCTAATGAGTAGAATGTAGTGAAAGGGATACCATGTGGCTTCCCTATCTCAGACTGTTTTCCCTTGGAACCCAGCCCCTATTGTGAGAGCCATCAGGCCACAAAGAGAGCCTGAAAGTGCCTGTGTCAGTGTTCATGCTGCCTGTCCCAACCAAGTTTACAGCCGATGGCCAGCATCAACCATCAAACAAGTGGGTGACCAAAGCTTCAGAGGATTCCATTTCCGTAACTGATCAGCTGTTCCTAGGGAAGCTGAAGGGAGCAGAGCAAGCTGTCCTGGCCAAGTTTTTCCCAAACCACAGGTTCATGAATAAAATAAATGTTTTTCTTTCAAGCCACAAGACTCTGGGTAATTGTTAGGAAAATAAGTTTTAAAAAGAGACAACAGGAAACATAACTTATGCAGCAGAAAAGAGTCTCCTTTAAAGCAGGATCTAATAAAGGTTGATATTTATTTATTGATGTCAAACATTATTGAGAAGCAGTAGATAACCAGGAGAGAGACATAAGCTGCTGAGGAGGAATTTTCCTAAAACAACTTCAATAATGAACGCTGATAACAAGGCAAGGGTGTCTTCTTACAATTTCCCCTCAGGTTAGGAAGTAAGACTGGGAAGCAAGAAGATGTATGATTTGAAAAACAACTAGAAATACTGGGTGACATAGGCAAAATCAGACATTTACCTGATTTCAATTAACTAAAATTCTAAAAGAAGAAGTTTTGAGTATTTATTAATCAACCTAGTATTCAATTTTCATTTTCTTTTCTAAATGAGGAAATAAGGAGAATATTATGGAATGATTTTTATTCTTCACAGAAGTAAAATAAGCATAGTGTGTTTTGAGTGTTAAGACACAAATGCAATTTCTCCTTTACCTTACTCCAAGCTTGTTTGTATGGAGAAGTTAAGACCATCCCATCTCTATGTTACGCCACAATGCTTCTCTATAGCACACAACTTGGCTCTGAAATTTTGAAAGTCAAAATACTAATCTACTATGTGTCTCTGATAAATTGCCTGAACCTTACCTGACTTTGAAGTGCTGCACTCCTAAGACTTTTTCTTGGAATGAGTTAAACGTTTTATTCCAAGAATCCTCTACTGAGCTAGAAAGCAGAGCTGTGCATCTCTGTTTCAGTAAAAGGAGGTCAATATAGGGAACTGTGGTTTCTGAGAATGCAAGATCTGCACTAATAAAAGGATTAGCCACAGTGCTACCCAAGAGAACCAGCTACCAGGAGAAAAGAGGGTCTGTAAACTGCAAGATGATGACTTCACTTGATTTCCACTGAGGAAAGCTGGCGGCTCAGACTTAAACTTCTCCTTCCTAGATGGTAAACATCTATGGAAGGTTCTATGAATTATAATGAGTTAGTAAAACATAATGCACTGAATATTAGACTATGTCAGCAGATCCTGTAACCAAAACTTACTGAAAATATAACTATAGTGGGAGGCAATGGAAAAGAGACTAAAGGCTTGAATGGAGAAAAAAAGAAATTAAGTGTGTCTTGTAAGCCTGGCGTCTGATCATGTCTTAGAGGAAGTAAGGTATAAGCTGGCCAGAGACTCCTTTGTGACACAAAAGGTGAAGTTACAGACATTCCACTAAATTTAATTTTTATTATGACATAAGACAACTGGTAATATGCAACATGATTGAAAAAAACTTCTCATTCAATTCGATTGGGCCTTGACATAAGAATAGACATAAACAAGCTAAGAATTGAAAATCTAAAAATAAGCCTGCACTTTTACAGTCAATTGATTTTATACAAGCTTAACAAAAGAACAAAATGGGAAAAGAATAGTCTTTTCAACAAATGGTGCTGGGACAACTGGGTATCCATAAGCAAAAAATAAATAAATTTCGACCAAATATCTTATTTAATAATTAACTCAAAATAAAATAGTTAACTGTAAAAGCTAAAACTATAAAACCCTCAGAAGAAAACACTGGCATAAATCTTTGTGACTGCATTTGCCAGTGTTTTCTTAGCTATGACTCCAAAGGAAAAATGGATTCAATGGACTTCAAAATTGAAAACTGCTGTGCCTCAGAAGACAGCATGAAGAAATGAAAAGGTAAGACGCCAAGTAGAAGAAAGTATTTGAAAAGTGTGTATCTGATAAGGGACTTACATATATAGGAAATATAAATAACTCTTGCAATTAATAAATAACAAGATAAGCCAATTTTAAAAAATGGGCAAAGATTTTGAATAGATATATCTGCAAAGAAGATATAAAGATGGAAAAGCTCATTAATAGATGCTTAATGTAATTAGTCATTAGGAAAATGTAAATCAAAACCACATGTGGTATCACTTCACACCACAGGATAAAATCTTTGTTCAAGAAAAAAGAGTGTTAGGAAAAATGTAAAGAAATTAAAACCCTTATCTAATGCCGCTGGGAATGTAAAGTGATGCAGCCACTTTGGAAAACAAACTGGCAGCTCCTTAAAGGGTTAAGCATGAAGTTACCATATGACACACAAATTCCAGTCATAAGTATATACTCCAGAAAAATAAAAACATACGCAAGCACAAAAACTCATACATAAATGTTTACAACAGCATTATTAATAGTAGTCAAAAGGTGGAAAGAACCAGAACGTCTGTCACCTTTGGCTGGGAGAGAACCCAAAGGTCCATCACCTGGCGAATGGATAAATAAAATGTTTGATGTATCCATACAATGGAATATTACTCAGCAATAAGAAGAAATTAAGTACAGATACCGTATTAGAAGGAGACAGCAAAATGCCTAGGCAGATACGGAAGGGTCCCCGGAGAATCTCCAACGAGCCCCACAAGTGTTTACACCTGATGTTATGTGCAGATAAGGGAACCTGGACTTGTCTTGCCTGGACATGCCCACAGCAGACTGGAGGCCCACATGCAGTGGGGGGATGGGGTGGAGTCACCAGGAATTCACACCTTATGCAGATGAGGAGCCTGGCCGCTTCAGCTCATGTGCTCCTGGTATTCAATTGTGAGGTGGAAACCTCTTTGCAGGACCCCTCTCTTTGCTGAGAGCTGTGCTTTCACATAATAAATTCTGCCCTCCTCAATGTGTCTGCAGGCTTAATTTTTCCTGATCATGAGAGAAGAACACAGATGTAGCTGAACTAAGGAGCAAAAACCCGGCATCAATACCTGCTACAGCACAGACGCAGCATGAAAAATTATGCTAAGTGAAATAAGCCAGTCCCAGCAGACCACTTGCTTTTTATTTCAGAGGCTTATAGGCAAATCTATACAAAGAAGGTGGGTGGTTCCCTAGGGCTGAGGGAGGAAGGGAAAACTAGTGAAGATGGCTAAATGATGTGGGGTTTGTTTTTAGGGTGATGAAAATGTTCTAAAATTAATTGTAATGATGACGGCATAACTCTCGAAAATACTAAAGTTAATGAATTCTATACTTTAAATGAGTGAATTGCATGGCGTGTTCATTATTTCTCAATAAACCTGTTACCCCCCACCCCAAATTAATTTGGTACTAGAGATCTGCAGATAGGTACTGCTTGGTTTCAAATCACTGGCCAGGGTTCAAGGTCTAAGAGAATCAACAACATGTCCTTTTTATAAAAAAATAGATTTATATTTTACAAGCTATCCTTTTCATTAGTATCAAGTCTGTAAAATTCAATGAAAAATCTTTCTTTCACTGCTTAAAGCACTGACAGATTTATATAGAGGAATAAAACCTTGTTTTCCTTGGCCCTAATTTCTATCTAAAGGGTCTGGGAAACACACCCTTCAAACTATCAAATCTCATCAGATGGGTTTTATTAACACTTATAATGTGGCTTCCTTTCTAATCTGATTCTGGTGCAACATCACAGAGAGAAGAAGCTGAAGGAAATCAAAATAATTTACCCCCAAATATATTGTTTGACTTATTTTGAAATGGCTGCTGCAGGGCCAAGAGATTGAAATGGCCCTCATTAAGGTAGCCCAATCTCCCCTTCTAGGTCTTCCCAGATCTGGGGAAGATTAACTAAGAGCCTGAGGCATTTAAAGTTTGAAAAGATATATTTACTCTCTATTTTCTCAACATATTTTGGCAGAATTTGGATTTTTCCATTATCAATATTTTCCAAAATGCATGATTTTTAATACCAAAACTGATTTAAAAGTACCATACGTTGGAATATAAATTATTCTATTATAAAGATACATGCATTTGCATGTTCACTGCAGCACTATTCACAATAGTAAAGACATGGAATCAACACAGATGGACATTATCAGTGATAATGGGATAAAGAAAATGTGGTATATATACACCATGGAATACTATGGAGCCATAAAAATGAATGAGATCATGCTCTTTGCAGGGATATGGATGAACCCGAAGCTGATATCTTCAGCAAACTAATGCAGGAAGAAAAAACCAAACACTGCATCTTCTCACTTATAAGTGGGAGCTGAACGATAAGAACACATGGACTCAGGGAGGGGAACAACAAACACTGGGGCCTGTTGGGGTCAGGAGGGAGAGCATCAAGATCAATAACTAATGCCCACAGGGCTTAATATCTAGGTGATGGATTGATAGGTGCAGCAAGCCATCATGGAACACGTTTACCTATATAAGAAACTTGTTGGCCAGACTGGTCTTGAACTCCTGACCTCATGATCTTCCTGCCTTGGCCTCCCAAAGTGCTGGGATTACAGGTGTGGCCACCATGCCTGGTGGCTATTTCTCTTTTTAAATTCTCTCAGGACTCCTAAAATCTCAAAACTTTGACCTAGATTCCCTAATCTACATTTCCAGCTCTGACCATTTTCTTGAGGTCTCTTCCTTCTAGTACCCATATTATAGAAAATATTCTCAACCACATGCTCATACATTGCTAATTGGTGCAGATTACTTTTGTAGATAGTGAATGTTGTCTATTTTATGTTGGTTCTCATTAATGTTACTTTGAGTATACTGTTATTTTCTAATCTCAAAGGGGGACTATCTCACTGTTATGATACTAACCAGTATATTTTGTCCTTTTTTTCTTGCTTTCTTCTTTTTTGGACCAGTATACTTTGTCCCTTTTTTTGTTTTTCTTTTTTTCTTTTTTTTGATGGAGTCACACTGTGTCATCCAGGCTGGAGTGCAGTGGCACCATCTCGGCTTACTGCAACTTCCACCTCCTGGGTTCAAGTGATTCTCCTGCCTCGGCATCCCAAGTAGCTGCGACTACAGGTGCACACCACCACACCTGGCTAATTTTTGTATTTTCAGTAGAGACAGGGTTTCACCATGTTGGCCAGGCTGTTTTTGAACTGCTGACCTCAGGTAATCCACGCACCTCAGCCTCCCAAAGTGTTGGGATTACAGACGTGAGCCACGGCACCCAGCCCTCTTTTTCTTTTATGATGAAAACTTTCCCATGAGAATCATATTATCAATTGTTTGCCTTTGTTTTCTTTTAAAGAAATTCCTTTTCCATAGAGATATGGCATGATGAAAGTCTTGTTCTAAAGTTTCTTTTGGGGGACATTTAACTATGTCATTGGGAAGCTTCAGTAAGTAGAGATCTCCCTTCTTCTCACTCAAGATTCTTCATCTCAAAATGGTGTCCACCAAATGTCTTAATCCAGTTAGTCTTTTGTGTAGAAATTCATGAAATAAGAACCTTCTTGAGAAGTTGGAGGCTAGTGATTGAGATGGTTTAACGCTGCCCCTTATTATATGTTTTACTCCCAAGGTAGACATCAAAGTGGCTAATAATTCTATGACTGATGTCTAACTCACTTCTAAGGGAATCTATACAAAACGTTTTATTTATGAGACAGAGTCTCCCTCTGTTACCGAGCCTGGAGCGCAGCGGCTTGATCACTGTTCACTACAGCCTCAATATTCCAAGCTCAAACGACCCTCCTACCACAGCCTCCCAATGTAGCTGGGACTACAGGCGTGCACCACCATGCCTCAGATAAGTGTTTAAATTTTTTTTTTTTTTTTTTTTTTTTTTTTTTTTTTTTTTTTTTTTTAGAGACAGGGTCTCACTATATTGCTCTGGCTGGTCTCAAACTCATGGGCTCAAATGATCCTACTGCTTCAGCCTTCCAAAACCAGGTGTTTAACTGGGGACTAACATGAAACACTTAGAAGACTACGTGGAACATAGTGAGCTACATAAAATATTTGCTATTAGCATAATAATTTTATTGTATATCTTAACAAAATTGTGTATTTTAGGCAGGTGGCATGCCAATGGAAGTACTCTCCTATAGCTGCACTGAATCATTCTTACCACTGAGAGTTGCAGCAAATGGGGGACATAATTTGTAACTTACTTTTCTCTCTGTATGACTCATTAGGCAATGACTATGTATGTACTACAATGTAAACAGCACCTCCTGGATTGAATAGTACATAACTGACATGACCAGCAGAGACAGGCTAAAGACACTGAGCTGAAAACCCTGGACTCTATTGCTAAATCAAGGCTCCTGAATCCGTTCCCTCTGAGCAACTGTTGCTGTGGTGCTGCCTTCACAAGCACTCTGCTGAGCACTCAGATTGAGAGGCTGTGCTATCCGTCATCGGACAAGCTGCACCCAGAACTGTTCAGCTGACAAACTGGTACCAGTCCAGAAACACAGTTCTGCTGCATAGTGAAAAAAGGCCAATTTAGATTATTTTTCATAGAGAGAAAAACATAAACATGTGATTGAACGAGTCTCCTGTATTAGACTAATTGGGTTGGCTTTGATATTTAATTGCTAAAAACACACTTAGAATACAAACCTTACTGTGTCAAGGTCTCAAAGAAGAAATAATTGGTATGGTATAAAGTATTGAATTGTATGCTACAAACTTCTAAGCTAAAATATTTTCAATGTATGCAAGGATAGGTGGCATACATATTATATATTATTCCCCCATTAAGCAAATTTATAATGAGAGAAAACTATCTTCCATAAAAAAATAAAAGCCATGTAAAATTAAGAACTAAGTTTTTCTGCACAGACTAGACAACGATTGCTAACACATGAGGTCAATGAGAGAACACTCAGAGAAAGCTTCATGAAAACAATAAATTGTCTGCCACGTCTGAGTGAATGAGGCTAGATGAATAGAAACTGAGAAGGCAGAAAGGATAGCATGAGCAAGACAAGTGCTGAAATCTGCCCAATTAACTCTGAGGATAAAGTCCAATGGCAGAGAAATAAAAACGCTTGTCCACATAATAACCTGTAAGTGAATGTTCGCAGCAGCATTTTTCATAAGAGCTAAACAGTGGAAACTAACCTAAAGGTCCATCAACCGATGAATGAATGGAAAACCAGTATAGACATGGAATAGAATATCACTTAACTATAAGAAGAAATAAACTACCAATGTGTGCTAAAACATTATGCTAAGTGAATTCTGAAAACATTATGCTAAGTGAAAAAGCCAGTCACAAAGGACTACGTATTGTATAATTCTATGTATATGAAATAAGCAGAACAGGTAAACATATGGAGACAAAAGTAGATAGATGGTGGTTGCCTACAACAGAGGTAGGTGGAGGGACATGGAGGAAGGCTGCAGTCATGCCTAGGAGATGTGGGGTTGCTTTTCAGGTGATGAAAATGCTGTGAATATACTAATAGATACTCAGTTGTACATTTTAAATGGTTGAACTCTCTCAAATGTGAATGATATCTCAGTGAAACTGTCTTTAAAATCCAAAGGCAGGATCAAGATAATTTTCTCAACTCTCAATTTTTGATGTACATGTTATCTCAAATTTAAATATTTCCACAGTTTTATAGTATATTTTAAATAAAAGATAAAGAAAATGCCTAACATTTCAAATAGTTTGTAAATTAACCTAAAACATGCACTTTTAAAAGAATAGTATAATGGCCTTTCTGTACAAGTTAACCTAGAATCTGTGAAATAAATAGACACAGATTCTGTGTCCACTCACAAAAGTGAAGAAATAAGACAATTTTCTGGAACATTCCATGAAACATTCTTCTCTGATTTAATCTGGCCTGCCTCATCAGAGCAATACAAAAATTACTTAAAAATACTGTTTTAACAGGACAAAAGTCAGTTTTCTATGAGGAATGATGTATAATTCTCAACTTTTCCAAGGGTACATATTGTAAAAGAAAAGGTATGCAATGGTTTTTCAAAATGGTAGAATGAAAGTCACTATATAAAAAAATAAGTACATTATAGAGATAGTAAAATGGAAATAATTCATTGTAATGAAAATAAAAAATCAAGCTTCTGCCATAATTAGTATCCTAAAACATGTTATGTAATTCAACTAGCTACAGAATAACCGTTGACATGCTAAGTTCCATACATACTTGACTTTCCACTTGAAATAATTTCTTCTTTGGGACCTGTGTCTCATCCAAATTAATGTGATAATGTGATATACTTCCAGTGGAGACTCTAACATAGTTAATTTTTTTAGGCTGTCAGCTGCTTCTTGCTGAAGTTGTCTCACAACCACCTGAGAAAATAGTTTTGTTACTGATTTTATAAATTGCCTTATTATTAAATTATGTTAATAATATTTAACTCTAACGTACGTACTTTGAAAATTATCACCACACATATCGATTCACCTTCTTTTAATCACATGTACACATTTTTATTTATTACTGAATTCAGTGAGGGATGCACAATATGTTCTCTTCCTGCCAAATTGGTATTCTCTTACTTACATAACAGATTCATCCCACCATTCAATCATCTTAGAAGCTCAACTCAACCTCAAAGTTCCTCACATATTCAATCACCTGTACAAATCCTTCCAACAGATTCCTATCTCAGAATAAAAGTAAAATTCCAATGGCCTTTGAGGTCCTAGGTAAACAGGTCTCTACCTCCCTCTCTGACTTCAAAGCTCCTACAACTCCCTTCTGTAATTACTCCATTCCCACTGTACGTGAAGCCTGCCACCCCTCAGTCTGAAAATAGGGATCTAATGCCTTACTCATAAATCACAGGCAGCTACAAGTATCTTTGTACTGAACAAAATTATATTCCAATGATAGCCATTGAGCCTTGAAATAAAAATTAGGAGCTAATTATTAATATAAATATTCAAAGTAAACTATAAATACCAGTGGGAAGACTAAACCAAATATACTTTTGCTAAATATTACCACATGTATCCTAAATTATGATTTTATAACAAGTAGGTGCCTTTAAAACATTACATAGTCATAAAAATATGTAATTTGACATATTTTCAGATTTGTTAAATTAATATGATTAATAACAAAGATATACCAACTAAAATACATAAAAAGCTACTTAAAGCAAGGTATTACAAGACACAGCAATACACTTCAGTTCATCTGGGAAATCTAGAATTAAGTGTCAAAGAAAATCAATTAAATTTTAATTTGAAAATACTCATTTCAGGTGTAAACATTTCCATTTATACTTACATTATGGTCTTAACATGTGGCAACATAAAGTCATTAAAATTATTATTTCACCAGTACAGAACTATCTACCTTAAAATATGACTCTGTGCCTAATAAAATTTCATAGGTGACACAATGTCTTTTCTCAAAGTAAATCATCTCTCACCTCTACCTTTTATTTCCTAGAAATGGGGCACGTTTCTAAGCTGGTATAGTAAACACGGTTTTCCTTTTTTTTATTAAAACAGCTTTGTTGAAATATAATTTACATACTATAGAATGTATCTGTTTTAACTTAAAGTTAAAAGATTTTTTAGTCCATTTACTGAGTTGTGCAGCCATCTCTACAATCCAACTTTACAGCATTTCCATCACTGCAAGATCCCTCACGCCCATTAGCAGTCACTACCAGCTTTCAGCCCCAGCCCTTTGCAAACATTAGTCTACTTTTTGTCCCTATACGTTTATCTTTTCTGGATGCTTCATGTAAATGGAATTATACAGTATGGTAAACACACTTTTTATCCATTGATTTTTATATTCAACTAAGTTCAACATGTATCCAGAACCAAATGTTTAAATTTTCTTTCTAAAAGTTTGAAAATATTTATCTTCCTTGATACTTACTACTCTTTCTGCTTTCTCTCTCTCATATTGAAAGAGACTTTCTTTTAAATGATCACATTCATTCATTAGCTTCTTATTTTTCTCTACTAGCATGTGGTCTTTCTTTCCACTTTCCATAAAGCCTCTTTGGATATTAGTTACTATCTCTTTATGATCCTCTTTCTGATGAACATCATCTAGTTGCTGTTCAATGCACGGATTTTCATGTTGGAGTTGACATATCCTCTCTTCTACACAGCTCCACTTTCCAGTGGAATTATTCACTTTAGCTTCTGCATTTTCATACATCTCTTTCATTTCCTTTATTTGCTGCTGTGTTTGGCTTAGGTCGTTTGGAGAGTTTCTAAAGCCAATGACTTTTTTCTGAGAGTATCTCTTTTCTTACGGAACTTATCTTTTAAGGTATTGAATTTAATTTGCTTTTTAGAAAGTTGTTCAGTAAGAAACTCATTCTTATCTTCTACTTCGGAAATATCAGAACTCATTTTTACTTGTACGGAAACATCTTGTGTTCACTCTAATGCAAGTTTTAGGTTTCTTTCTGTTTTCACACTTTCACTGTGCTTACTTATAGCAGCAGTCAGTCTAGACTGATGATTCAATTTCAGCTTCCAGTCTTTTGTTGCTTTCTTCTTCCTTCAACAGTTCGGAATTGAGCCTTGTATTCTCAGCTTTGAGATCATTAAGCTCTTGTTGATACCGGAATGCTGTTTTTGTTATCAATTCCTCATTGAGTTTTATATACTTTTCAAGGGCAGCATTTGTTTTTTTAACAATTTTAGCGTCCTTAAGATATTTATTTTCTTTTTCCAGGTTGTCATTTTTCATTGTGCATATTTCCTGTCGGAGTATAGCAATATCTGTCTTCAAAATGCAATTTTCATCCATCAGATCTTTCATTTCTTCCTGATTATGAAAATCCTAAATAAAACAAAAGAAAGTTTTAGCTAGTACTCAATAAAATATCATGATTACCTCTGAAGTTAAAGAATAACCTGCACATCCATATACTAAAAAGGTTACTGTAAGTGGATATCCAACTGGAGAAAAAGTTGAAGCAAAACTTTGTACTTTATAGAGCATAAGTTCCAAAAAGTTCAGAAATTTATTTAAAGTCAATGAATTTATAAAAGTAAACACACACACACACACGCACACCAGAGAATTTTTAAGAATTTCAGAATTGGAAAAGCCTTTCCCTGAATTACAACAAACTCAAAAGCATAAATTAAAGCATTAACAAATTTGACTAAATTAAAATATATCAAAAATTGCATTTACACTTTGATATCTAACCCATACACCACCCTATAGTAAGAACCTTATTTCACACATATTTGGACAGATAAAATTTCCCAGAGTTATTACAGTTCTGTTTCACTGATAACATTCTATTTTAATTTGACTCTTTTAACACTTTTATAGTCAGTTGAAAGAATTACATTTACTAAATCATAAATCTAGACATTATACTAGTCACTCCTATATACATTCATTGATGAACTCATCTAGTTACCACAAATTTGAAAAAGAAATGTTAAAAATATAAGCAAGCTACAGGATTTTCCCCAGGACTTCTTACTCTACTTCTAGTTCTCTGACAGATCACAGTTACTTCTGTGGTGTAAATGTATCAATACGAAAGAAAACTTTTATTTCAAAACACCAATGGTAAATAAGATAAAATTTATAGAGCTCTTCTTAGAATATCATGAGATTATTTGTGATTGCAATAATTTGTTTCCTCTTTATAGTATTAGGTACAGTAATCAATATGAAATGGCGGGAAGTACAAGGAACAATTTTACTGGGAACAAAATCTTTATCAATAGGTTATCACTAAGTATATATTATGGCATATTATTGTTTTCAAAAGCTCTTTGTAATAAAATAATATCCTATGTGGATGCCAAGATTTATAATAAAAATAATTGTACCTGTAAGTGTCATCATTCATTTTTTAAAAATGAGATAACATTTCTGGTTTGTTTTAGACCAAAATATTATATATTAAATCAAGAGGATATTATAAGTAACATTGATAAAATAAAGTTTAAAATATAGAATTTTTACCAAAGATTGATTTATCTGATTTGGAGTATTTCTTGTAGTCTTCGGTTTCATCTCTAGTGATTCAATAGTTGGTTCAAGTTGTTTTGCTTCAACTTCTTTCTTATATTGTTTCTCTTTCCTTTCTAATTCTTCTCTATTTTTTTGTACAGCATATTAACGTTTGTTTTTTCTTCACTTTCTTGTCTTAAGATGCATCTGCAGACAAAGACATTTATCTTAAAATTCATTTTGTTAAAAAATAAAGAGATCATCCTGTGATCTACCTCTGCAGATGCTCTTTATCATCCTAGTAAAATTTCTATGTTCTGGATTATTTTTCCTTTGTAGTTCTCAAATATTTAATTTCTCACTTCAACATCTTCAAACGAATGCATATACTTGAAAAGTAGTAAGGAAAGAATATTCTGCTAAAGTTTTTATTACTAGTCACTCTAGTATGTATTATACAAAAAGATACTGGAAATAATTCAGTATAGTTAGAAGTTCAAAACTACCTTTTCAAATCACACAGTCATAATTACTACCTGATTAGAAAAGGTCATTTACAATCAACTAAATTTTTAAAGTTACTATTTATTGACAAGCGTATAAGTTCACTAGAAATAAGTTTTCATCTCTATGAAATATTGCAGGTGTCTCTCCAAATGATTTACAGAGTAAGATGTCTCTCACACAAACTATATCTGCAGATTATTGTCATCTAAAACTAGGCTAAAGAGTCTAACATCTGTTACCCCACACTTTTTCTAATTCTTTCTTAATACTTCCAATTCACCTTATTACATATATTTTATATATTTATTAAGCTATTGTTCATTATGTGTAATATATAATTAATGCCCTTAATAAGTGTGTGTATGTTTACACAAGTTATGTTTTCCTGTGAAATCTAGTCCCAGAAGTGGAGTTGTTGAGTTAAAGGGATGTCAGGTTATTTGAAATTTTGATAAACAGCACTAAGTTACCCTTCAGAAATAATTTACCAATTTCATATACCAACAGTGTATGAGAATGCCTTTTTCCTCTCATTTTCAATGGTAGGAATTACTTTTTCAATATCAGCATGACTTTACAAAATATATCTTATTTTATGTTAATTTGCATTTTTCTGATTACCAGGCAGGGCTAAATATCCCTGGTAAAACTATAAAACTTTTTAATCATAATGAACATTAGTCCAATTTTGAATTAGTTTATAGCACAATGACAATTATCTGCTGAGAAATACTGCTATAGGTGGCCAGGCACGGTGGCTCATTCCTGTAAACCCAGCACTTTGGGAGGCCGAGGTGGGCAGAACACCTGAGGTCAGGAGTTCGAGACAAGCCTGGATAACATGGCGAAACATCATTTCTACTAAAAATACAAGAAATTAGCTAGGCATGGTGGCACATGTCTGTAATCTCAGCTACTAGGGAGGCTGAGTCAAGAGAATCACTTGAACCCAGTATGCATAGGTTGCAGTGAGGTGAGAACACACCATTGCACTCCAGCTTGGGTAACAAGAGAGAAACTCCATCTCAAAAAAAAAAAAAAAAACTGCTATAGGCTTACTTACCTATCATGCTCTTCCTTCAGTTTCTTGGGAAATTGCTGAGGATACGTTTTCCCAATCTTTCTTTCTTTGGTTAATCTGTCAGCAGCAGCAGAAGATGTACTATGACATACATTTTCTGATAGTTGTATTTTTTCACTTTTGTTTGTATTATTTCCTTCTTTGACCTTTAATAAAAGTAATATGAATAATAATTATTATTTTATTCAATAAAAAAACTTTTTCCCTGATTTTTTAACTTGATTCAGGTTAACTATCGCCATTTTAATGATAAAAGTATTTTGTGCTTACTTTAATTTTATCATTATACATAATAATTATAAGATACTCATCATTTTATCATTGAAATTTTTGTCAAGTCTGCTCATTTCTGTTTGAGTGAATGGAAGAATTTTCCAAAATTTCAAAAAGGACTCTTCTCCATTTTGTGCTTTTATTCGCATCCACTCTTTGCTATCTGATATAAATGTTTATGCTAGTTGACTGGCAGAAACAGAGAAATAAAAAGACACAGGCATAACATATATCTTCTGTCATTGCCACATGGATTTTACATGAAATAGCCAGATTAAGAGGATGTAACCTTGTAGGCCTTCAAGAACAGTAAAGAAGTTTTCCCTTTTCTGCACTGAGCTATTCTTTTCCCCACTGCCTTTTATCTCTTTTTTTTTTTTTGAATCCTGGGATATCAAAAAAGTGAAAGTTCTCCCTGAACTATGGGAACCAATGTTTGTTTGCCACAACACAAGAAGCAGAGTGAAACTGCTGAGTTTCTAGTGCAGAATTCTGGAAAACGAGATGCTTCCCAGATTTCACATTCAATTACCACAAATGTTTATAGGTGGAACACATATGGTACAGTTATCTACTTAAGCCATATTATCTACTGAAAACGGGAGTCAAACCAACCAAGACATATGAAATGTTTCATCCAGAGCTCTTGAGGCGGCATTCCCTAGCATTTCATGGCACCAAATAACATGATACAATTCCATGTTGCCGAATTACATAAATTACCAGATAAATTTATCAAATTAGTCAGATATATTAAAAGTCTAACTTGAGCAAAGCAATTTAACACCTCAGAGGGTGGAAAAAGGCCTCATCTACTTTTACTTTGAAAGAAGAAAATCTCTAGATTTTTGTCTATCTTTAGAACACAGTGTACAGAACTCAACTTTCTACTAAAGAGTCAAAGGTTAAATTTTTAGCTAAGAAATTATGCTTCTTACATGATAAAAATCATACATGCCAAAACTTACCATACTTTATTAAACAACATAATGTAAGGTCTGATTCAACAGAAATATTGGAGTGGTGATTTTTTAAAATATGTGGAAGTATATATTTGTTTTCAAAATATTAGAAATAACCATGATGGAACTATAAATTCAAACAGTTTGAGCTAAGCAGATAAACTTGCATGCATGAAAACACATTAAACAGACTCATTTGGCTGGGAATATTCATTGCAACTCTCAAGGCTAGAAGTGTTTTTGTGGCTCATCTCAGTCATTGCTTCCCTCCCATTGTATTCCCATTCTATCATTAAATAAATGTAATTCATCTCTAAATGACTATAGTAAAAAGAATCTAGAATCTAAAACTTATTTCTTTAGCAATTTCTTTATGTTGATCTGGTTCAGAAGGTCACATGGTATATGGCTGAATTAGTTTCCCAGCTCATATGCCACTTGGAAGACTGAGAGTGAGAATTAGGTTGATTAATGAACAAACATTATGAGAACATTCTCCAGAACCGTTGTTTAGATAGCAGGACTAGTCTACTTTGACACATAATTACACATTTAGAAAACCCCGCTGTAACTGTACACATGGGATTTTCTTGAATAGAAAATATGACTAAATCAAATAATTGATAAAGAGAAAAAAGAAGCAGCAAGTGAACCTCTGTCTTTTTGAAGTTGGACTTTCTCTTTCTCCAAAGCCAGGAACTCTACTTGTAACATGCCTACCTCATTCTTTTTACTATTATTATACTTTAAATTCTGGTACATGTGCACAATGTGCAGGTTTGTTACATATGTATACATGTGCTATGTTAGTGACCTTGAAATATCTTGCTGTAAGTTTCTAGCTATATTTTTGATGTTCTCTCACTATGTGGCAAATAATAACCCGGATTTTATAATTCAAGATTCATGGTTTTGTAGTTATTAACACTGGGATTGTCATTCAGTGGCTTCTGGAATAAGCATTGTGTTGGTTTTCTGTTTTTATAAGTATCTGTAGCAGCAGAAATACTGTGGCTTTCTATCTGAATCATATGCTTCATTTCTTTGGGGTGGGTAAGCCACAAATCAAAAAGACTTTCTGGATCTCTAGACTGAGACCAATGCCTAATGTCTAATTTCCAATTAGTGGTATTTGGGTTTATATATTTTTCCATTTGCATGTCAAACTCTTAATCATCTTTCATTTCAATCATAATTACTGGGTTCCTTACCTTTTCAGTTTCTATATCATAACAAAAATTTTCATCATCTGTGTTAGAAACAAGCTGTGTGTCTGGTTTGTTATCATTTTTATAGTCTGATTTATTTTAATTTAAATGAAGCTTAGAAGATGACTGGTAAGTGTATTTCAGGGACCTGGAGTGTGAATGGAATAAAAAGACATTTGACATGGGCTTCCTCTGTTCAGGCGCTGCCTGGACTGCCACAGAGCTAGACCCTCCAGATACATTTTTCTCCTCACAATCAGGGACATGATTCATCAGACTAGAGGGCACTCCTTTTTTGTTCATCCCTCTTTAGAGTTACCATATAGGAGCTCTTCCTCAGGGCAAGCAGTAATTTTGGAGTTTTCAGAACTTTTACCAATATTCAGCTTGAACTTGTTTGTAATGAATTTTAAAGAAAGTCATGAATATATAGATTGATTCCCCTTATCACTGTTCTTACCCAGTTCTGATTCTTGAGACTTTTTTTGGTGGAGGGCAGGTGCAAAATGGAAAACAAATTTGCTTGTTTTGTTTCTCAGATGTCTTTTCTGTCAGAGTGCATGTTTTAAAATTAGCTTTAATCAAGTATAAACAAAGAAATATTAGAAAATAATTAAAATTTAACTGTGAAACTTAATCTATGTGTTGCTACTCTTAAATTATGGGATTGTAACTAAAAAGTGAAAAATAATTTGCCTTGGCTTAACATAGGACAGAAACATGAACCAGCAAGCTGAACTCTCAGTGTCTGTTTGGACTAAACTTAATGCATTTGTGTAAAATCTACCAGAAATGAATTCAAAGATGATAGGTAGTATTATAAAAGCTTCCTCTCTTACAAAGACTTTACCTCAGCATACCAGAAAGAGTGAGCCCCTACAGTGCATGTTTATTTCTGAAGATTAACTAGAGCACTAGGCAAACACTAAATTATTAAGAGCTAAACTGAACACCAATAAGAAAGAGAAGCAAAATTTTAAATTCTAATTCAAATGATATACTATGATAGTGTTATGTATCTAGATAGAATTTCTGCTTATATCCGCTTCTAATACATTTTAAGTTCCGGTAGTGATAGGGTTTGGATTTTTTAAATTTTAGTAATGTTTACTATGTATTTATGTTGAAATAAAGTTATTGTTCACACCCTGACACCAAAGATCCCATTCTGCAAGGTAGGATTCTCTTAATAGGCAACTGCATTGACTTTTATGACCCCATTCACTCCCTGAACACAGACACAGAAGTCAACTGGTGACCACAAAACAGAATAAATCTTTAACCTCGGCACTGGTGACCAGCAATATAAAACTGCAACATTTGAAGCACTGGCAATGATGACTCCTTTAACACTAGTTTAACTCAGTGGCCATTGTTGTTAAACTGTTCATAATTTCTATTCCTCAGTAATATGACCCAATACTTCATGTTACCTTGTGTATTATGAGTAAGGTTATATAAATAAAACAGCAAGATAATTCTGAAAATTTCTTGCCTCAATTCCAAGGGTAAAGACAGCTATGAGTTACTAGAGATACTAAGAATTACTAGAATAACTAATAGTTACTAGAGATAGTAAGAATATCTTAAGTTTCATAACTGGTTAAGATGTTTTAAAAATTACATATAAAATTATGATCTATTGGGTTCTAAAGGTATAGTCTGAAAGGTCATGTCATTTGGACTATGCTTTGTTAGTAAAGCAAAACAAAAAACCTAATATTAAACAAGAACTTAAATTTTCATATACCTGTGATTGCTTCTTTTCACTTCTTTCACACCTTTCTTGCTCTTCCTCTAAAGCCACTGGTAAGGTTTGTTCTGTTGACAAATTCATTGATTTAGTTCAAATGAACTAAGAAGAGTTAAAGACTATAATCTTTATAAAAATAAATAGAGAATAACATTTCTTTGTATTTTATATTTTGAGAGTTTGAATGAAACAATGTTTACTGAAATATTTACTTCTGTAAGAAATACTTCTAATTATCCAAAACTTCAACAAACCACTTGGGGAGACACCAGATATCACCAGATTCAAGCCATGCAAAATCTCAGGGTCACTCACAAATTGTTCCACCCAACATAAGTCAACAAAACTGTTAGAAACAAAACAGAAATTTGAAATACAGTCAAAATATACAATGTAATGCTTTATTATACTTCATAACAGTATCTTTTTAACAAGACACTAATTGAGTTGGCAGTTACTAATAATTTGCAAAATTATTGTTCTTTATACCTCAATTAGTGTGCACCCCATTTTTTACATCACAAATGTTTTCCCCTGCTATTCTGAAAAATTTATTTTCATCTTTTAAGACTCAGAAAGTAGGCTGGGCATAATAGCTCTCATCTGTAAACCCAGCACTTTGGAAGGCCAAAATGGGAGAATTGCTCAAGGCCAAGAGTTTAAGACCAGCCTGGGAACCATAGGTAACCTTGACTCTACAAAAAATTAGACAGGTATGGTGATATGTTCCTGTTGTCCCCGCTACTCAAGAAGCTTAGATGAGAAGATCCCTCGAGCCCAGGAGTCTGAGGTTTCAGTGAGTCTCAATAATGTCATTGCACTCCAATCCTGGGTGATAGAGTAAGAACTTGTCTCCAAAAAGAGGAAAAAAAAAGGCTCAGAATGCTTTGTGAAATCTTCCTTGATTCTAGCTATCTTTCTCCACACACACAGGTGTCTGCTTCGTTGGGGTCCCTTAGTACCTTGTCAATTTTTCTAGTGTCACTTTACCACCTGACCTGCACATCATGTCTTTACATGTTGACCCCTTTGCTGCTAGACTGTAGAGGACAATCTTTTGAATCATCTTTGTATAAACAGTCTTAATTTTGCTAAATAATTACTTATTGAGTTCCTGCTAAGTGTTAGGCACTGGGGAATAAGGAAGGAAAATAGAAGCTGTCGGGGATGGCTTTCCTAAAGATCATCCATGAGCTGAGACTTAGAGAGTGAGGTTAGCCAGATTAAGCGAGGCAGAGGGCAGGAAAGGGTGAGCACATGCCAGGCAGCAACAAGAGAAGACAAGAAGCCTCCAAGAGAGTATGTATTTCTCTGCAGAAGAGGAATGGTGAGGGGGCCATTACCAGCAGCTCGGTAATTCCAGAGAAAAAGGCAGATGGGGAAAGGGATACAGATGGAGATTTGGGCAGAAATCAGTTTCCTTTTCTTTTCTTTTTTGGGACAAGGTTATACTCTGTCTCCCAGACTGGAGGGCAGTGGCATGATCTCAGCTTACTGCAACCCGGCCTCCCAGGTTCAAGTAATTCTCCTGCCTCAGCCTCCTGAGTAGCTGAGATTACAGGTGCGTGCCACTACCACCTGCTAATTTTTGTATTTTATTAGAGATGGGGTTTCACCTTGTTGGCCAGGCTGGTCTTGAACTCCTGACCTCAAATGATCCACTTGCCTCAGCCTCCCAAAGTGCTGGGATCACAGACATGAGCCACCGTGCCCTACCCAGAAGTCAGTTTCTGAAATCCTTATATAAACCTTTAAGATGCTTGGACATTAGGTATTCAGGAACGGTTCACGGATCTATTTGCATTAGGGATAATTCACTCTAAATACTGTGAGGAGCATAAAATTCTGAGGCATATAAATCAATGAACAAAGATAAAATATAAGGCAATGTTGCAAAGATGATGCAGGCCTGAGGAGATGTTTTCAGAAATATTTAGGATATAGGTATCAGTGGCCATTATAAGAATGAATTTCTATTGAATAAATAAATGTATATATCTGGGTCCCTGGAGAAATACACTCGCTCATTACTTTACAAATTTTATCAATCAAATGAGAAGTAAAATAATATACATAAACTCTTTCAGTTACTTGTATTTACTTTACCCTTTTTCTGTTTCAGTTTTACTGTGCCAAGGAAATGCATTTGGGTTTTGTGGTGGTTGTTGTGGTTGTGGTTGTGGTTGTTTTTGTTTTTTGAGATGGAATTTCACTCTTCCTGCCCAGTCTGAAGTGCAATGGTGTGATCTCAGCTCATGGCAACCTCTGCCTCCTGGGTTCAAGCGATTCTCCTGCCTCAGCCTCCCAAGTAGCTGGAATTACAGGCATGTGCCACCATGAACAGCTAATTTTGTGTTTTTAGTAGAGATGGGTTTCTCCATGTTGGTCAGGCTGGTCTCAAACTCCCAACCTCAGGTTATCTGCCCGCCTCAGCCTCCCAAAGTGCTGGGATTACAGGCACTAGCCACCGCACCCAGCAACATATGGTGATTTTGTTTTAAAAGTTCTGTTTCCTGGATCTACCAAGCTCATGAGAAAATAGAGCAAACAAGTCATTTGCATAGGTAAGAAACTTTGGATTTATAGCTTGTCCTCACTACTCTAGAAGATTATCATCATGTTTTGCAAAGCAAAATGTTAAACACAGACACAAGGGGAAAAAGAAATTAAAACTATAGGGGTGGGTGAAAAAATATTGCATAATTTATTACTGTTGACCTCATCATATGACTGATTAAGGGCACTGAATTTAACTTGGATGTGAAGTAGACCTCATATTAGCTGCAGTTAATCAGTAGACCAGGCGTCCTAGCAGAATTAAATTTGATGCTCCTGTGTTATCTTTAAATGACACAGCTTTTCTGAAAACCCTTACTCATAGCGCATGATTATCCATTAAGAAAAGGTGATGGAATATGTGAATACAGCTGAGGAGACACCACAAGGCAAATGCTCAGTGGTTCCCATTAATATTGGGAAAATCAACACTATAAAACAGAAAGCCATAGACATTATTTAATATTTGGTTTTGGGAGGTATTTTTAGTGACACTGCATACAGTTGTACCTAATAATTGCTAAATTAGAGACGTAAAAGTAAAACAAAGGCACATTTTGTTTGAGTAGGAAATCTATAGACATCTAGCTGGTTTTCCCATCCAGCCACAAAATTCTAAATATAATCATGGTACCTGCACTCAAATTTATGTTAAATACCAACCTCAATGAAATCACTCTTTCTTCTCATTCTCTTTGTTATTTATATGTTGCTTTCCTTAAGGGAAGAATACAAATGCCTTGCTAAGAACCATTCTGTTTGGTTGTAGGCTGCATAAGGGGAGTGAACACAAAGTACATTTGACCACAAAATGACTCTTTAAAAGTCAGAACTACGGTAGCATGAAGCCAAACGAGGTAATCTACAATAAAATTTTCTATGCTTCTTTTCCTTCTTTGCTCTCTTTCTACTCTAATAACTGCGATTCACACAGGTAATGAAGAGTGTAATTCCTTGATAGAAACACAGCTCCAAGATTAATCCTTTCTTTAACTATGAAGTTCGCGTGTCCAAAATCTGTGGTAGTTGCTGTCTGATTTTTGATCACTGATGGTGATACAGATATTTATCATCAACTCACAACTTCCCAAATCTTTGAAAAGTCTTACTATTGATGGTTCAACTAGTAGAAACATGATGTAAAATATCTGAAAATAAAGTTTTTATTTATTAGAATGTAAATAATAATACAAATTGTAATAAAGTGTAAAAGTTCTTTCTTCACTGAAGCAGTACCATGTTGTCCTCTACCCCACAAATGCACTACTCCCCCGTGGTCTAATGTATTTTAAAAGTCTTGTAATTGCTATTAACTCAGACAAGTTTACTTAACTTGTTCTAAGCTTCTGGTATTTACTACAGTTTACTTTCAATCACTCAACCATCTCTGTTATATATGTTGTTTTCCATGAGAAATTTGTTTATTAGTAATTAAGATTCTTCAGGGATAAGAAAATATTTGAATAACTAAGTTTGTGCATAAACACATTAAGGTCAAATACCCATGACATTATTGTGTGTTTCTGTGTACTAGAGACAAAAACTTCAAAAAAAATTTAATGAATATACGTTAAATTAAAAACTGCTTTCATTAAACTGAGATAATCTTCCCTCAATGCATGAATACCTTCAGAATTCACATAGACCAAAGAATTGTATAAAATATAATAGCCTTAAAAATCTTATTTTTAGCTGGCACAGTGGCTCCCACCTGTAATCCCAGCACATTGACAAGCCGAGGTGGGCAGATCACCTGAGGTCAGGAGTTCAAGAGCAGCCTGGCCAAACTGGTGAAACCCCATCTCTACTAAAAATAGAAAAATTAGCAGGGTATGGTAGCACGTGCATGTAGTATCAGCTACTCGAGGGGCTGAGGCAGGAGAATTGCTTGAACCCGAGAGGCAGAGGTGGTAATGAGCCAAGACTGAGCCACTGCACTCCAGCCTTGGTGACAGAGCAAGACTCTGCCTCAAAAACACAAACAAACAAACAAAAAACCTAATTGTTCCCATATAAGTCTATGTTCATACAAGATCTGAAGAGTACACAACACCGTGAGACAGGACAGACATATATTTTAAAAGTTATATTCCTGGTTTCTGTAAAAATAAAATAGTTGAATTTAAGCTTTCAAGACAAGTCAACGAAAAGAGCAAAAAATGCAAAAGTGAAACTCGAAAGGTCATTTCCCCATCAAGGGCTCATGATCACTGGACATTCACAAACTATACTGTTCAAAACATTAGATCTGAATTTTGATCCGAGTATCCCTTTAGTAGCAGTTTCATTCAAGGATGTCCAAGAGGTAAAATAAGACAATATCATTTGCTATTTTCAGTTTTCTTTTCTGAGAACAGCCCAGCATTCTTCTTCAGAGAAATGAATTGTCCTAACTTCATAGGCTAAAGGCTCATGAGTCATAGTTCTAAGGGCATTAATAAAATATGGTGGTGCATGCTTGTATTCTGAACTTTTCAGGTTTAAACTCTCATATAGTAAATGCTAATAGATACAAACCGATTAAAGAAAAGCCCTCTTAATCTGACATTATTTTTCTTTTTATTTCTTCATTTATCAGCAACAGGAGAGTCTAACTAAATGTGGTAAAGTGGTATGAGGGAATACAATGAACAGTGTAAAATGAATTAAACCAGAGATAATCACACCAATGTGGGTACAAGTGGAAAGTATAATACAAAACACACCAAAGAAAGTGGCAGAAAGGTATATAAACTGTATAACCTCTCACATACCATTTTAGGACACAAAAAATTCTGCATATTATTTCTGAGCATCACAATGTAGTTAAAGATTTCAAAAGGGCATTGAAATGAAAAACAACCGACTTATGATGTTGGTAGCCTCTATGCAATCATGTTTTAAAAACTTTAACACCAAAAAGGCTCAAAATCACCATTTTAAAAGGCTGTGTCTACCAGTCATAAATGAATCATTACTTTCATCATTTGTAGTAGTCAAAGATGCCACAAGCGCACGCATACACACATCTATATATACACCTACACACACAGTCTTACTCATTAGAACATCTGATAGGCTTCAGATCATCAGTGTAATAACACTAGCAGCAAGCCTCTGAAGTTAAAACAGAAACTGACACTTTAATAAGTAAAGCTTTCCTCTAGGTAAAGATCAGAACTCCAACTAGCACTTAACTCACTGGAAATATCTTAAGAGTCTCAAAATTCACTGCTTTGAATCCCTGACAAGTATAAAAATTTTATACTGAAAACTTCATGCTATTCAAAACATTAAAACAGAAACATCTGACCTAAAGCTTACATTTTTAAAATCTTTTTTATGCTTCTAAATTTGTTTTTATTCAAATATGGATACCAACAATAACATTTATGTCAAAGCCTTCTGTTCAATATTGAACAAATAGAATTAGGAATAAGAATAATATGAGTACATCCAATCATTGAATGTACTTTATTTACAGTATTCCATTAAATGTACCTGCTCTCAATGTCTGTACATTCTTTCTTTGTACTGCTCCTTTCACAGCAGGATCTTCCACTTCAGTGCTAGGCTGAATGGGTTTTAAAAGAAAACGATTCATAAATCATATATATTTTATACAACATGGAGTTAGTGATTCAAAAATATACATAATTAATTAACTTCAAGGAAGGATGTTTTGCAGGAGGCCCTGCAAAGCAAAGGGGATATGTCATCAATTATATGTAAGTATGACAGGGCCAACCAAACATTCATGCAGTGTTACTGTCGAGCTGAATTCTCAGGCCTGGCTATAAAAATAATTACTTAAGGTTTTGAGGGTTCTTCTTGGCTTCTTCTTTTCATTGCCTAGGACAGCAACATGACAGAAACACAATGAGGAAAATAGGAATATAGGATTCCCAAAATGCACAGTTTACATTTCGTTAGTGAGATTATGTTTCAAATGCCTATACTTAAAATAGAAAAGCATTGATATAACCGTGAACACGTGGACTGATGAGGAGAAAAGGGACCATTAAACAGAGGGGCAAATCAAACCTGAGAGAATCAATGTCAAAGCTGATGGTGAATGTACAGAGTATTTTAACTCCACACACCAGAGGCATTGCTGCCAGCACAGCACAAATAAATTCCCCTTGTCTTGTCACTGAGGAAATACGCAGTTGGGATGACAGTTCAGATGAATGTGGGATTCACCTCTCATCAAAGAAAGGGTTCTACATTGATCAGCTAGGATACACACTTATGAAATAACAGCTAATCAAACTACTCATTTTTCCCATGATCACATGGGCTACTGCAGCACCTACATTTCTCCTATCCCCTCATTTGGCCTTGAATTAGAGCTCCTTGATCCACTCATGCAAGGTGGTCCATAAAACACATCAAATAAACCATGTCGAATAAGCTTCTGATATCAAAATATTTATCAAAAAAGAAAACATTGAATGACCACAGACTTGCTGGATATTAATACATATTTATATTTCAAAATCAGTGCAGTATTTATTGAAAATGATAATTTTGGTTTTCATGGAATGAATTTTATGATTACTTCTAAAATTAACTAAGTTTGGTATATTATCTTACACTGTAAAGGACTTTTATAAAACAGCTATCATATCAAAGAACTGGCTGTCTCAAAAAAATTTCGCCAAAGCATCTATATGCAACTTAATCATATCTTATTCACTCATGTCAGTTAAACTTCTCTCCCTGAGGCCTGACAGTTATCAAGTGAAATGAGCTGCTGTGGTTTACCCCAACTCTAGCACTCCCTCCTGTCTCCAGTACTCTCCACAGCAATAACCTCTTTTGTGAGACTGGGCATATGCTGAAGCAACTGGAAGTGAGTTGTCTCAAGTTTACTTGGCTTTAACTCCCAAGACCCCAGCAAATGTCCTTCTTTCCTCCTTTTGTGTCCTTTCACCATCCCTCTTCCTTTGAAAAAATGATTATCAGAACTGTCATCCTGATGCTTCCCTTCCTAACTGCTTTTTATGGATGATTGTGACCACTTTTTTCATCTGTATTCAGCAGTAGTATACACCTGTAATCTCTCTTTTTTCATCTCATTTTCCTTCCCCTGTGGCTAGAATCATGCTCAGAAATAAAAGGAAATTAAAGCTTTCCCTGGATTCTGTTATTTTTTAAATTGCTCTCCAGTGGTTCTTTTTCCAGATTTCTCTAAAGGAAAGCTATTCCCTTGCTATTCAGAGCTGTGTCCAAGGACCAGCACAAACATCACCTAAGTGCTCATGAGAAATGCAGACTCCAATACCTGCTGAGTCAGAATGTGCACTTTCCAGAAGCTCCTCAACGAATTC